>NC_000011.10:31726666-31878181 GCF_000001405.40 Homo sapiens
AAGGGAATCCTAATGGAAAAGAAAACACCACATTACCTTGTTTAGCCCAGCATTTTTAACAATTATTTGATTATAGAACCGTCTTTTATGTAGGTCGTATCATACAGTACCAGTGTTCCAAGGAATACACTTGGGGAACCACTGGATTATATTATACAATATGAATTGATTGATGTATTGGTTTGCATGTTAATACTATGTTTTTCTATAATAAACAATAAACAGAAACATAATTTATAATGAACTCTGTTTCTGAGTAGGAAATAGTTCTTGAACTGCCTAAGCTTGAGCTATATCTTTTAACACTTGGCCTTGTCTCATTTTCAAAATGAAATATATTTTTATAATAAAAGGCCAAGAATAAGTAGCTCAAATTTCATAATTTTATAGTCATCTCTGGGAATGTAGCCTTAAGAAACATCACTATCTATGGACAGTATCAGTGTCCTCAGCTTTGGGCTCAAAAGAAAAAGAACTTTATTTTTACAGTTTTTTTTTTTTAACTTTAAAGTGAACATATGTAGAGTTTTTATTTGGGAGACTAACGAGGAAAGCTGTGTCTCATTTGTTATATTGCTTCACATAATAACTGCTAACTAAAAATGTGTTTGATTATGAAAGGAGAGTAGATATTAATTATTTTTTATACATAAAAGAATTTGAGATCTTGATTTATTGGCTCAGACTAGGTAGTTTATGGGAGAAGGAGGACTTGGGAGAATCAGGTCTCATGTTCTTTCTAATATAGCACTTCTCCTTAAAGAATAGAAGATAAGGTTACCACTTTTATTGAATGTCAAAAGGACATTTCCTTTGTTTGTAAATTATTTCAAACTGCTAAGAGGGCCAAGCCACAGAAGCTACTGTGTTCGCTTACTCTTGGACATGACTCCCTCCCTTCCAAACATTTATTAATGTCAGTGAACATAGTAAATGTGTCTATCTTGTCTTTATACTTTTCACTGTATCCACTAAAGAATATCAAAGACTAGTAAGCTCTGATGGTGAAGGTAGGAAATATGCCCATTATCTATTATTATTGTTTCACATAATAACTACTCGAATAATGAAGAATTATTGAATAATGAAGAAACTGAGACTCAGAAAGGTAGTAACTTACCACAGCCATAGGACAGGTTGATGACAGAAAGAGCATGTATCTTCAGCTTCTTTGTAGCACAAACACTGCATAGCATCAAGCATTCAGAATAGATACTCTAAGTGCACATCTATTGAATAGAAGATTTGTTGGCAGAGATGATAAGCAGTATCTTATGCATAGACCTACAAGTATGTTTTTCAATTTAAAGAGGCTCATCTATCTCAAAGATAAAGTGCCTGTTACTTTACATCAAGCATGAAATACTGCCATTATATTACTTCCCAAAAAAAGCATATAAACAAAACTTATAAGAGAAATAATCTCCAACAATAGAATAAAGATGATTATAGGTTTTAAAAGCTATTTGCTTTATATCATTAATAAGGATATGCTAGGTTGAAGAATACGTAATCTATTGAAGGGTTGTTACCTCAGAGGATGGAGCTAGGGAATTAAGAATGCGAAGGGCATTTTTAGTTTTTCTTGTATACATATAGTATTTTACATTATATTTATTATAAGCATATATTACTGTTATAATTTTTTCAAAGTTCATAAAAATGTCCTTTAAAGAATAAAAGCATAGAATTAACTTGGTAGACATTTATGCTTTTGTC
The DNA here is from genome assembly GCF_000001405.40 of Homo sapiens. Taxonomy (NCBI): domain Eukaryota; kingdom Metazoa; phylum Chordata; class Mammalia; order Primates; family Hominidae; genus Homo; species Homo sapiens. Next base: position 31,728,386 of record NC_000011.10, read on the forward strand.
AAAAAATTAAGTATTTCAAGTATATAGATACTATTAGAAAGCTTCTGTGTACCTAGTACCCTAATTGTGACAAACATAAATGTTTTAGGGAAGTAAAATTTTTAAAAAGTAATACCCCAAATTTACCCAGCTAACCAATAGTAAGTATGAGTTCTTAGGCTTTCCTGCCTGTATCTATATAGATATACAAAGTAGCATATGCTGCAAAAGCTCTAAGTCTTTGCAGCAGTGCTCTGCTGAAAAACAGTTGTAACCATTGGTTGCTGGGCAATAGACAACACAGCAAACCCAGCTCCCTTCACTTCAACGTTTATTTATCTGGATTAATGATGTAGATCATCATAAACAAACAAGATATTTGTTATATAAATAGGATAGCTAATGCATTTCAGGAAATTTTAAGATTTTCCTTAGTGTTCATGTGTACTTTCAGTGCTTTTAACCTTGAAAGAGATATATATTGTTTGGAAACCAAAATTAAAGTTAAGTTGAAAGGGTACAGTGTGATCTCCTTGCCTCGTGATAAATTACACCATGAATCTTAGGAAGGCATATTGAGCTTTCTATTTGAATTGTTTCATAATAGATAGAAATTATAGAATAAATTCATTTATATTAAAGCACAAAATAGTCTCATTAGCTAGAGGAGAAAATTCTAAGGTATTCCTGGCTCTCTTTCTCTTCCAAATTTCAAAGAAAAATCAAATCCAAAAGAAAGGTTTTAAACTAGTGAAACAGAATATTGTAATTGTAGCTCATTTTAAAATGTGCTTGTTCATTTTTAAGGGCTAAGAAAGTTATACGTGTAGTATATTTCAAAATGTTTTATGAGGTAGGATGTCTACTGTAAGTTATAATGGATGTACTAAACCATAATAACAATCAGTACCAAAGCTCTATGGTCTCTGAACAGATTGTTTCCGCAATTAGTATCTATGTACTAACTTAGCAATAAAAATATGTATTGGCCCATTTCCTCAGGCTCTACCTCATGGGGATGATACAAAAATAAAATGAAATAATAGGCAAATAATCATTTTGGGAATTAAATATAAAATGTCACTAGTGGCATAATGTGTAATAAAAATAATAATAGATACCAATACTGACATACTAGAAATTAGACTTCAGATCTCAAAAAAACATTTTTGTTGTTAAACGCTTCTAACACCCTTTTGTTTGGTTCTCATGGTAATCTGTATTAGTGGGAAAGCTTTGGGGCTTTCTATATGCATAAATGCTTCAGCTGTTTAATAAATTAACCCATTTACTACTATACTCCAAAAACTGATTGCCATCTTTATACACCCAGCCATTTTCATCAAACAACCAGTTGGCTTATTAATTATAAAATTGGTTATCAGTATGAGTGTGTGACACAGCTTGAATGAAAGCTTTTTCCAAAAATGCTTGTTCTCTTCTAGCTTGTCTACGTATAATTCAGCCACATTGACTACAGCACCATTAGTTTGGCTGAGACTTATTCTTCATATAATTTAGTGGCTATTAATCAGTGAGATTGTGTTATTAAGGAAGCCAACTTAAGAAAAGTCTAGTAGTGACATCTGCGAGATTGTAGAATAGGAATCCCCAGACATTCTTTCCTTCTGTGGAAATACCAATTCAACACCAAAACATAGACCAGTTCCCTTTGTGAGAAATCCAGAAACCAGTTAGGATACTCCCACACCCCAGGCAAGTGCAAAATTAGCCACTGTAAGCCAACAGGAAAATTCATTGCACCCTCTCACCATTGTCCTTGCATACTCCGAGTCAATCAGGAGGTGTTTTAGTCCATTTGTGCTACTATAACAAAATGCCACAGACCTGGGTAATTTATAAACAATAGACATTTATTTCTCACAATCTTGGTGGCTGGGAATTCCAAGATCAAGGCACCAACAGGTTCAGTGTCTGGTGAAGGCCTGTCTAGGTGTTCTCACATGGTGGAAGGAGCAGAAGAGCAAGAACACACTCCCTTCAACCTCAAATTCCATTCATAAAGGCAAGCCTTCATGACTTAATCACCTCCTAAAGGCCACACCTCTTAATATTGTTGTATTGGGGATTACATTTTAACATGAATTTTGGAGGGAACATCATCATGCAGAAGGAAACTCTCAGCTCCAAGCTTCTCCATGGACAGAGAAGACTGGACCATAAACATCCAACATTCTGACTTCTGAGGGGAGCTGCCCAAGGGACTGGCTTCTGTGTCATCTCTCTCAGAGCACTGACACGGCCTGGCATACTCTAGATGCATTAGGGCACTGAGAGCAAGAGCTTGGCAGTGTGCTACTGCTCAAGAAACTGCAGTATAGCAGACACAGGAAAATACAACTTGGTTAGCTCTATCTCAAGGGGAAAGAGAAGAATGGAGCATGTGTTCAACATTCTAGCATTTTAGGGGGCTGCCCAAGGGGCTGAATTCCTTCTAGCCTGACATAGGACACTGACAGGACCCAGCATATTCTAGATTCCTGGGGGTCACTGAGAACAAAAAAGAGCTGGGTGATGTCCTGCTGCTTTAGAAGACCTTCAGTATATCAGAGGAATCAGAGGGAGCAAGAGATTACAAGCTCCTGAAAAAAAAAAAGAAGCCAGCAAATCTAAGTAAAAATCTAAACACACAAGTTTAGAGAAGACACATCAGAGAAAAAGCTTGAAAGACTCCCAGAACCTCTAATCAGGCTGATTGGCAAAAGTCTTTCTCTGTACAAAGCCAGTCTGAAAAAACTGAGAGAGGTGGTTACTTTGTCAAATGTGTAGATACCAACACAAAGTTATAAGAACGTGAAGAAACAGGGAAATAGGCCAATCAAAGGAGCAAAATAAATTTCCAGAAACAAACCCTTAAAAAACAGGTATGTGAATTGCTTGACAAAGAATTCAAGGTAACCATCATAAATATGTTAATCAAACTCAGAGAAACTATGTGTGAACAAAATGAGTATTTCAACAAAGAAATAGAAAATATAAAAGAACCAAACAAAGTTTGGAGCTGAAGAGTGCAATAACTAAACTTTTAAAAATTCCCTAGAGGGTTCAACAGCAGACTTGATCAAGCTGAAGAAAGAACCAACAAACTTGAAGACAGATCATTTGAAATTATCCCGTCAGAGAAGCAAAAAGAAAAAAAGAATGAAGAAAACCTAGGGGACTTATGGTACACCATTAAGCAGGTGTGTGTGTGTGTGTGTGTGTGTGTGTGTGTGTAGTCTGTGAAGAAGAGAGAAAAAAGGAGGCAGAAAGCTTCTTTAAAGAAATAGTGGAAACAACTCCCCAAATCTGGGGCTGGAAATGTATATCCAAATTCAAGAAGCCCAGTGGATCCCAAAGAAGATGAATCCAATGAAGTCAACACTAAGACACATTATAATCAAACTGTCAGAAATAAAAGACAGAATTTTGAAACAACAAAAGAAAACTGAATCATCACAAACAAGGGAAACTTCATAAGACTATCGGTGGATTTCATAGCAGAAACTTTGGAGGCAATATGAGAATGGGATAATATATTCAAAGTGCTGAATGAAAAAAAAAATTGCCAACAAAGAATAGTATCTCTGGCAAAACTATTCTTCAAAAATGGAGCAATAAAGACTCTCCTAGATATTCAGAAGCTGTGGGAGTTCATCACCACTACACCTGCCATCCAAGAAAGGCTAAAGGGAGTCCTTCAAGTTGAAATGAAAAGACACTAAACAGTAACACGAACAGGGAAGTATAAAGCTTGCTGATAAAGGTAAATATATAGACAAATACAGAATACTGTAACACTGTAATAGTAGTATATAAATCACTTTTAATTCTATAGAATTTAAATAAAAGTAGAGTATCTATAACTATAAAAATATGCAAATGGATACACAGTATAACAAGATCTACTTTGTGACATAAATAATATAAAGTGGGTGGGGGTAGTGATAGAATAGTTTTTGTATGCACTTGAAGTTAAGTTGTTATCAGCTTAAAATATTTTGTTATAATTGTAAAATGTTTTGTGTTAGCCCCATGGTAACCACAAAGAAAATACCTTTAGAAGATACAAAAGAAAATGATAAAGGAATCAAAGCATGTCACTAAAAAAAAAAAAAATAAATGAAAACAGAAAGGAAAACTGCAAGAGAGGATAAGACAGAAAACAACAAAATGGCAATGGTAACTTCCTCTCTATTCAAAATTACTTTAAATGTAAATGGATTAAACTGCCTAAGCAAAAGACACAGAGTGGCTGAATGAGTTTTAAAAATAACATCCAACTATATGCTGTCTACAAGAGATTCACTTAGATATAAGGGGACACATCAGCTGAAAGAAGAGGGATGGAAAAAGATACTTCATGCAAATGGAAACCAAAATAGAGTAGGAGTAGCCATACTTTTATCACACAAAATATACTTTTTGTCAAAAACTGACACAAGAGACAAAGAAGGACATTACGTAATGATAAGAGGGATAATTCACCAGGAAGATATAGCAATTGTAAATTGTTATATAAATGTACCCAGCATCAGAGCACCCAAATAGATGAAGCAAACAGTGACAGAACTGAAGGGAGAAATATGCAGCAAGACAATAATAGTAGGAGATTTCATACCCCACTTTAAATAATAGAAGAGACAGAAGCTTGGTAAGGAAACAGAGGACTTGAACAACACTACAGACCAAATGTATCTAACAGACATACAAAACACCATACCCAACAGCTGCAGAATATACATTGTTCTCATGCACACATAGGACATTCTTCAAAACAGATCACAAGTTAGGTCACAAAATAAGTCTTAACAAATTTAAGAAGATTAAAATGGGCATGGTGGCCCACACCTGTAATCTCAGCAATTTGGGAGGCTGAGGCGGGTGGATCACTTGAGGTCAGGAGTTCAAGACCAGCCTGGCCAACATGGTGAAACCCCATCTCTACTAAAAATACAAAAGCCTAGCCAGGAGTGGTGGCGTACACCTGTACTCCCAGCTACTCCAGAGGCTGAGGCAGGAGAATTGCTGAAACCTGGAAGGTGGAGGTTGCAGTGAGCCAAGATCACGCCACTGCACTCCTGCCTGGGTGACAGAGTGAGACTCCATCTCAAAAAAAAAAAAAAAAAAAGGAAAGGAAAAGAAATGAAAGAGGAGACATTACAACTGACTCTACAGAAGTAAAAAGGATTAAAAGAGATTATTGTGAACAATTATAAGTCAACAAATTGGATCATGTGGAAAACAATGGATAAATTCCTAGAAGTCTATAGTCTACCAAGACTATGAATGGTAAATAATGAAGAATTTTAAAGCCTAAACAAAATATAATTAATAAGGCTATTGAAGCAGTAATTAAAAATCTTCCAACAAAGAAAATCTCAGGACCAGATGGCTTCACTGGTGAATTCTACCAAACGTTTAAAAAAGAATTAATGCCAATTCTTCTCAAACTCTTACAAAAAATTGAAGAGTAGGGAACACATCCAGATTCATTTTATGAGGCCAGCATTACTCTGATAGGAAAGCCAGATTAAAAACACCACAAGAAAATAAAACTGTAGGCCACTATCTGTGATGAAGATAGATGCAAAAATCTTCAACAAAAAACCTAGCAAATCAAATTCAACAACACAGTAAAAGAATCATACATCATACCAAATGGAATTTATCCCTGGGATGCAAGGATGGCTCAACATAAGAACATTATTGAATTTGATACATCACATTAACAGATTGAGGGATGAAAAAGCACATGATCATCTTAATATATGCCCCCAAAAAAGTATTTGACAAAAGTCAGCACACTTTCATGATAAAAACAGAACCTAGGAATGAAAAGAAATTATAGCAACATAATAAAGACCATATATGAGAAGCCCACAGCTAACATACTGTATGGTGAAAAACTGAAAGCTCTTCCTCTAAGATCAGGAACAAGGCAAGGATGCCCATTCTTGCCACTTCTATCGAACGTAGTACTGGAAGCCCTAGCCAGAACAACTAGGCAATAGAAAGAAATTAAAGGCATCCATATCAGAAAGGAAGAAGCAAAATGCTGTCTGTTTAAGATGACATCTTATATGTAGAAAACCCTAAAGATTCCATTTAAAAAACTGCTAGAACTAATAAATGAATTCAGCAAAGTTGCTGGATTGAAAAGACAACAAGGAAAACTTAGTTGTGTTTCTGTACACTAGCACTAAACAGTCAAAAGGAAAATTAAGAAAGAAAACAATTTCATTTACAAGGCATAAACATGAATAAAATACTTAGGAAAAAACTTCACCAAGAAGGCAAAAGTATTGTACACTGAAAACTATAAAACACTGCTACAAGAAATTAAAGCAGACATAAACAAATGGAAAGAAATACTGTGTTCATAGATTGGAAGACTTGATATTGTTAAAATGTTCATAGTACCCAGAACAATCTACACGTTCAATGCAATCCCTATGGGAAGCCCAGTGGTATTTTTTACAGAAATAGAAAAATCTAAAATTCATATGGAATAACAAAGGACCTAAAATAGCCAATACAATCATGAGAAAGAAGAACAAAGCTGGAGTCTTCACATGTCCTGATTTTGAAACATATTACAAAGCTACAGTAATCAAAACAGTATAATACTGGCATAAAGACATACATATAGACCAATAGAAAAGAATACACAGCCCAGAAATAAATGCACAACTGTATGGTGAACTGACTTTTGACAAAGGTGCCAAGAATACATAATGAGGAAACGGTAGTGTTTTCAACAAATGGTATTGGGAAAACTGGATATCCATTGGCAAAAAAAAAAAAAACACGCACAAAAAAAAGAGATTGGATCCTCATCTTACACCATATAGAAAAATAAACTCAAAATGGATTAAAGACTTAACCATATGACCTGAAACTGTTTAAAACACCTAGAAGAAAATATAAGAGAAAAGCTGTATGACATTGATCTTGGATATGACGTGAAAAGCACAGGTAACAAAAGCAAAAGTAAACAAGTAGTACTTTAAAAAATAAAAGCTTCTCATTCCCTTTGAAAGCTGGCACAAGACAGGGATGCCCTCTCTCACCACTCCTATTCAACATAATGTTGGAAGTTCTGGCCAGGGCAATCAGGCAAGAGAAGGAAATACAGGGCATTCAACTAAGAAAAGAGGAAGTCAAATTGTCCCTGTTTGCAGATGACATGATTGTATATCTAGAAAACCCCATCGTCTCAGCCCAAAATCTCCTTAAGCTGATAAGCAACTTCAGCAAAGTCTCAGGATACAAAATCAATGTACAAAAATCACAAGCATTCTTATACACCATTAACAGACAAACAGAGAGCCAAATCATGAGTGAACTCCCATTCACAATTGCTTCAAAGAGAATAAAATACCTAGGAATCCAACTTACAAGAGATATGAAGGACCTCTTCAAGGGGAACTACAAACCACTGCTCAATGAAATAAAAGAGGATAAAAACAAATGGAAGAACATTCCATGCTCATGAGTAGGAAGAATCAATATCGTGAAAATGGCCATACTTCCCAAGGTAATTTATAGATTCAATGCCATCCCCATCAAGCTACCAATGACTTTCTTCACAGAATTGGAAAAAACTATTTTAAAGTTCATATGGAACCAAAAAAGAGCCCGCATTGCCAAGTCAATCCTAAGCCAAAATAGCAAAGCTGGAGGCATCATGCTACCTGACTTCAAACTATACTACAAGGCTACAGTAACCAAAACAGCATGGTACTGGTACCAAAACAGAGCTGTAGACCAATGGAACAGAACAGAGCCCTCAGAAATAAAGCCGCATATCTACAACTATCTGATCTTTGACAAACCTGAGAAAAACAAAGAATGGGGAAAGGATTCCCTATTTAATAAATGGTGCTGGGAAAACTTGCTAGCCATATGTAGAAAGCTGAAACTGGACCCCTTCCTTACACCTTATACAAAAATTAATTCAAGCTGGATTAAAGACTTACATGGTAGACCTAAAACCATAAAAACCCTAGAAAAAAACCTAGGTAATACCATTCAGGACATAGGCATGGGCAAGGACTTCATGTCTAAAACACCAAAAGCAATGGCAACAAAAGCCAAAATTGACAAATGGGATCTAATTAAACTAAAGAACTTCTGCACAGCAAAAGAAACTACCATCAGAGTGAACAGGCAACCTACAGAATGGGAGAAAATTTTTGCAACCTACTCATCTGACAAAGGGCTAATATACAGAGTCTACAATGAACTCAAACAAATTTACAAGAAAAAAATAAACAACCTCATCAAAAAGTGGGCAAAGGATCTGAACAGACACTTCTCAAAAGAAGACATTTATGCAGCCAGAAGACACATGAGAAAATGCTCATCATCACTGGCCATCAGAGAAATGCAAATCAAAACCACAATGAGATACCATCTCACACCAGTTAGAATGGCGGTCATTAAAAAGTCAGGTGCTGGAGAGGATGTGGAGAAATAGGAATACTTTTACACTGTTGGTGGGACTGTAAACTAGTTCAACCATTGTGGAAGTCAGTGTGGCGATTCCTTAGGGATCTAGAACTAGAAATACCATTTGACCCAGCCATCCCATTACTGGGTATATACCTAAAGGATTACAAAGCATGCTGCTATAAAGACACATGCACACGTATGTTTATTGCAGCACTATTCACAATAGCAAAGACTTGGAACCAACCCAAATGTCCAACAATGATAGACTGGACGAAGAAAATGTGGCACATATACATCATGGAATACTATGCAGCCATAAAAAAATGATGAGTTCATGTCCTTTGTAGAGACATGGATGAAGCTGGAAACCATCATTCTCAGCAAACTATTGCAAGGACAAAAAACCAAACACTGCATGTTCTCACTCATAGGTGGGAATTGAACTATGAGAACACATGGACACAGGAAGGGGAACATCACACACTGGGGCCTGTTGTGGGGTAGGGGGAGTGGGGAGGGATAGCATTAGGAGATATACCTAATGCTAAATGACAAGTTAATGAGTGCAGCACACCAACATGGCACATGTATACGTATGTAACAAACCTGCACATTGTGCACATGTACCCTAAAACTTAAAGTATAATAATAATAAAATAAAATAAAAATAAAAAATAAAAGCTTCTGCACCACAAAGGAAGCAATTAAGGTGGCCTACAGACTGGGAGAAAATACTTGCAAATCTGTAAACCATATATCTGTTAAGGGATTAACATCCAAAATATATAGAGAACGCCTATAACTGAATAACAACAAACAGATAAATAACCCAATTCAAAAATGGGCAAAGGACTTGAATCGACATTTCTTCAAAGAAGACATACAAATGGCCAAAACGTATAGGAAAAACTCAGAATCACAATAGTCAAGGAGGAAATGCAAATCAAAATCATAATAAGATTATCTCACACCTGGAAAATAAGTGTTGACAAGGATGGTAACTCTTGTGCATTATTGGTGGAAATGTAAAATGTATAGCCACTGTGGAAAACAGTGTGGAGGTTCCTCAAAAAATTAAATAGAATTTACATATGATGCAGCAATTCGACTTCTGGCTATTTATGCAAAAGAATTGAAACCAGGATCTTGAAGAGATATTTTACACTGCCATGTTCATAGCAACATTATCCATAATAGCCAAGAGGTGAGAGGAACCTGAATGTCCATCAACAGATAAATGTGGTATATATGTATAATGAAATATTATCCAGCCTTAATAAAGAAGGAAATCCAGCCAGGCACGGTGGCTCAAGCCTGTAATTCCAGCACTTTGGGAGACCAAGACAGGAAGATTGCTTGAGCCAGGAGTTCGAGATCATTCTGGGCAACATGGCAAAACCCCATCTCTACCAAAAAAAAAAAAAAAAAAAAAAAAATTAATACTTAGCCAGGCATGGTGATGCATGCCTGTAGTCCCAGCTACTCAGGAGGCTGAGGTGGAAGAATTGCTTGGGCCGTGGTTCAAGGCTGCAGTGAGCTGTGATTACACCACTGTACGCCAGCCTGGGGAACAGAGTGAGATCCTGTCTCAAAAAAAAATAAATGAATAAATAAAAATAAAAAACAAAAAAGCCAGGCATAGTGGCCGACGCCTATAATCCCAGCACACTGCGGGGGGCTAAGGCTGGTGGATTGCTTGAGGCTACGAGTTCGAAACAAGCCTGGGCAACATGGCAAAACCCCATCTCTACAAAAAATACAAAAGTTTGCCGAGCATGGTGGAATGCGCCTATAGTCTCAGCGCCGGGGGAGGTGGAGGTGGGAGGATTGCTTGAGCCTGAGCCTGCGGGTCGAGGTCTCAGTGAGCGGAGATCGTGCCACTGTACTATAGCCTGGGCAACAGAGTGAGACCTTGTCTCAAAAAAAAAAAGAAATTATAACATATTCTGCAGCATGGATGAATCTTGAGGACATTATGCTAAATAAAATAAGCCAGTCACAGAAAGGCAAATATTGCATGATTCTACATATATGAGCATTTAAAACAGTCAAACAGTCAAAAGCAGAAAATAAAATAGTGGTAGCCAGAGACTGAAAGGAGGGAAAATGAGGCGTTGCTGTTCAATGAGTATAAAGTTTCAGTCATGCAATTGCATAAGTTCTAGAGATCTGTGTACAACATTGTAGCTGTAGTTCACAATACTATGCTGCACACCTAAAAAGTCATTAAGAGTGTAGATCTCATGTTATGTGTTTTTTACCCCAATTTTTTTAAAAGAGAAATCTAGCTATTTTGATCTCATACACCAATATTCTCATGACAAATGGGGAATGTTAGGATGAGACAGATTTGTATTGAAAAAGACAAAACCAATAAAAGTGTAGTGACACAATTAAAATTCTCTGAGACTAAACATTTCTGGAAAGTATACATGACTATAATTAATTGAAATGCAGCTTTTACTAAGTCTGCTTATATGTTCATTTTCAAAGTGTGAGACTGATATTTATTATGGATGTCAGAGGAATTGTTTTCTTCACTGTGGATCTATGTTGTATAGCACTTTTTATTTGTGATTTGTTCTGTCTTAGGGCTATTTCAAGTATGATTTTCCCATGGTAGACACGCTATGGAATTTGTTTCCTTGACATGTACAATAATTTCAGAATACTTCTTCCAGTGTTTTTTGTTGGTGTGTAAGGTTATTAATAGTGAAAAACTTTAAAGTACAATCTAGTACTCTTTATAGTTAGGATTTTTATTTTGGTAATAATGATTAATTTACAGAATCTCATGTTAAGATTCATGCTATATTGCCATTATTTTAAAAGTGTGAAATGCATGAGTTTTAAAAGACCAAGTTTAAAATACCAATAAGTAGTGATATTCATATACCATATGTTTACCTACAAATATCTTAGGTTATGTTTATTACACACTAAACCTCCTCTCAAGCACAAAGCAAGCACACAATTGTCAGACCACAAGGAAGTCCATAATTTCCATTACTGGCATCAACCTTTCCATTTATTTCTTATGTACAGAACATATTTACCTATTTATCAGAATATTTACTCATAGAGTCCCCATTTGCTTAAGCATTACTGCCATCACTCCAATTCTGAAGATGATAATCAAGAAATTTTTTTCTCTCTAAATTCATAGACATGCTTTGCTCTGAAGCTTTAAATCAGCAAACACGGTTGCCAAGAGAAGCTTTAAGAAAGGTAGTTTTATAGTCAGAGGTTATACAGTTGAAAAAACTATATAGCAATCATTTTAAAATTTGTACTGAATTATCTGGTTTGGCTGTCAGGCCTAGAGTTCGTCAGATAATTTCCAGAGCTGTAATTCATTTTCACTTATGAGACCTTAGTCTGTTACAGGGAAAAGGGTTTTTTTCTCCTCTCAAGTTTTTCCAGTAATGCTTCCATGTACCATTCAACTGCTGGCACATTTTAGTCCCAGAGGATAGATTTTGTTTGGCATGCTAAGGAATTTTGATATATTTAAGAAGGTGAGAAGTACACATTGGCATCATTTAAACAACATAAGTCTACACCCAATTGGCTTTTACATGCCAAAGATGTGAAATGTGCCAACTGTTTAATAGTACACAATAACTGTACAACTACATAAGTTGATTTCAGCAAAACAGTTTGATGTGTGTTTTATCCTGAATCATTTAGATGCAATTAAGTCTGTGGTGCCTGAATAATAGAGGCAGGCTGGGCTGTTCCTAACTTTTGCATAAGCAGATATTAATATTATCGAAATGTTAGTCATAGTTGAGTTGAATAGAATATGAGTATTGCTTTAGTTTATGATGCATTTTCAGCAACTTCAGTAGTTTCTATACTGCCAACAAATGTGAAACAGGAAAACAGAATTTGAGGTTGATGATCTTTATTTCTTTTAATAAAACAAATTTGGGGGAGGAGCCAAGATGGCCGAATAGGAACAGCTCCGGTCTACAGCTCCCAGCGTGAGTGATGCAGAAGACGGGTGATTTCTGCATTTCCAACTGAGGTACCAGGTTCATCTCACTGGGGAGTGCCAGACAGTAGGTGCAGGACAGTGGGTGCAGCGCACCGTGCGTGAGCCGAAGCAGGGCGAGGCATCGCCTCACCCGGGAAGTGCAAGGGGTCAGGGAATTCCCTTTCCTAGTCAAAGAAAGCGGTGACAGACGGCACCTGGAAAATCGGGTCACTCCCACCCTAATACTGCACTTTTCCAATGGGCTTAAAAAGTGGCACACCAGGAGATTATATCCCGTACCTGTCTCGGAGGGTCCTACGCCCATGGAGTCTCGCTTATTGCTAGCACAGCAGTCCGAGATCAAACTGCAAGGTGGCAGCGAGGCTAGGGGAGGGGCGCCCGCCATAGCCGAGTTAGTTGTTTGATTAGGTAAACAAAGCGGCCGGTAAGCTGGAACTGGGTGGAGCCCACCAGAGCTAAAGGAGGCCTGCCTGCCTCTGTAGGCTCCACCTCTGGGGGCAGGGCACAGACAAACAAAAAGACAGCAGTAACCTCTGCAGACGTAAATGTCCCTGTCTGACAGCTTTGAAGAGAGCAGTGGTTCTCCCAGCACGCAGCTTGAGATCTGAGAATGGGCAGACTGCCTCCTCAAGTGGGTCCCTGACCCCCGAGTAGCCTAACTGGGAGACACCCCCCAGTAGGGGCGGACTGACACCTCACACAGCCGGGTACTCCTCTGAGACAAAACTTCCAGAGGAACTATCAGACAGCAGCATCTGCAGTTCACCAATATCCACTGTTCTGCAGCCACCGCTGCTGATACCCAGGCAAACAGGGTCTGGAGTGGACCTCTAGCAAACTCCAACAGACCTACAGCTGAGGGTCCTGTCTGTTAGAAGGAAAACTAACAAACAGAAAGGACATCAACACCAAAAACCCATCTGTACGTCACCATCATCAAAGACCAAAGGTAGATAAAACCACAAAGATGGGAATAAAACAGAGCAGAAAAACTGGAAACTCTAAAAATCACAGCGCCTCTCCTTCTGCAAAGGAACGCAGCTCCTCACCAGCAACGGAACAAAGCTGGACAGAGAATGACTCTGACGAGTTGAGAGAAGAAGGCTTCAGACGATCAAACTACTCCGAGCTACAGGAGGAAATTCGAACCAATGGCAAAGAAGTTAAAAGCTTTGAAAAAAAATTAGATGAATGGATAACTAGACTAACCAACGCAGAAAAGTCCTTAAATCACCTGATAGAGCTGAAAACCAAGGCACAAGAGCTACATGACGAATGCAGAAGCCTCAGTAGCCGATGCGATTAACTGGAAGAAAGGGTATCAGTGATGGAAGATGAAATGAATGAAATGAAGCGAGAAGAAAAGTTTAGAGAAAAAAGAATGAAAAGAAACGAACAAAGCCTACAAGAAATATGGGACTATGTGAAAAGACCAAAACTACGTCTGATTGGTGTACCTGAAAGTGACGGTGAGAATGGAACCAAGTTGGAAAACACTCTGCAGGATATTATCCAGGAGAACTTCCCCAATCTAGCAAGGCAGGCCATCATTCAAATTCAGGAAATACAGAGAAAGCCACAAAGATACTCCTTCAGAAGAGCAGTATGTCTCAAGACACATAATTGTCAGATTCATCAAAGTTGAAATGAAGGAAAAAATGTTAAGGGCAGCCAGAGAGAAAGGTCGGGTTACCCACAAAGGGAAGCCCATCAGACTAACGGCTGATCTCTCTGCAGAAACTCTACAAGCCAGAAGAGAGTGGGGGCCAATATTCAACTTTCTTAAAGAAAAGAATTTTCAACCCAGAATCTCATATCCAGCTAAACTAAGCTTCATAAGTGAAGGAGAAATAAAATACTTTACAAACAAACAAATGCTGAGAGATTTTGTCACCACCAGGCCTGCCCTAAAAGAGCTCCTGAAGGAAGCACTAAACATGGAAAGGATCAACCAGTACGAGCCACTGCAAAAACATGCCAAATTGTAAAGACCATCAAGGCTAGGAAGAAACTGCATCAAGTATCAAGCAAAATAACCAGCTAACATCATAATGACAGGATCAAATTCACACATAACAATATTAACTTTAAATGTAAATGGGCTAAATGCTCCAATTAAAAGACACAGACTGGCAAAATGGATAAAGAGTCAAGACCCATCAGTGTGCCGTATTCAGGAAACCCATCTCACATGCAGAGACACACATAGGCTCAAAATAAAGGGGTGGAGGAAGATCTACCAAGCAAATGGAAAACAAAAAAAGGCAGGGGTTGCAATCCTACTCTCTGATAAAACAGACTTTAAACCAACAAAGACCAAAAGAGACAAGACCATTACATAATGGTAAAGGGATCAATTCAACAAGAAGAGCTAACTATCCCAAATATATATGTTCCCAATACAGGAGCACCCAGATTCATAAAGCAAGTCCTTAGTGACCTACAAAGAGACTTAGACTCCCACACAATAATAATGGGAGACTTTAACACCCCACTATCAACATTAGACAGATCAGCGAGACAGAAAGTTAACAAGGATACCCAGGAATTGAACTCAGCTCTGCACCAAGTGGACCTAATAGACATCTACAGAACTGTCCACCCCAAATCAACAGAATATACATTCTTTTCAGCACCACACCACACCTACTCCAAAATTGACCACATAGTTGGAAGTAAAGCATTCCTTAGCAAATGTAAAAGAACATAAATTATAACAAACTGTCTCTCAGACCACAGTGCAATAAAACTAGAACTCAGGATTAAGAAACTCACTCAAAACCGCTCAACTACATGGAAACTGAACAACCTGCTCCTGAATGACTACTGGGTACATAACGAAATGAAGGCAGAAATAAAGATGTTCTTTGCAACCAACGAGAACAAAGACACAACATACCAGAATCTCTGGGACACATTCAAAGCAGTGTGTAGAGGGAAATTTATAGCACTAAATGCCCACAAAAGAAAGCAGGAAAGATCTAAAATTGACACCCTAACATCACAATTAAAGAGCTAGAAAAGCAAGAGCAAACACATTCAAAAGCTAGCAGAAGGCAAGAAATAACTTAGAGCAGAACTGAAGGAAATAGAGACACAAAAAACCCTTCAAAAAATTAATGAGTCCAGGAGCTGGTTTTTTGAAAAGCTCAACAAAATTGGTAGACCACTAGCAAGACCAATAAAGAAGAAAAGAGAGAAGAATCAAATAGACGCAATAAAAAATGATAAAGGGGATATCACCACCGATCCCACAGAAATACAAACTACCATCAGAGAATACTATAAACACCTCTATGCAAATAAACTAGAAAATCTGGAAGAAATGGATAAATTCCTCAACACGTACATCCACCCAAGACTAAACCAGGAAGAAGTTGAATCTCTGAATAGACCAATAACAGGCTCTGAAATTGAGGCAATAATCAATAGCTTACCAACCAAAAAAAGCTCAGGATCAGATGGATTCACAGCCGAATTCTACCAGAGGTACAAGGAGGAGCTGGTACTATTCCTTCTGAAACTATTCCAATCAATAGAAAAAGAGAGAATCCTCCCTAACTCATTTTATGAGGCCAGCATCATCCTGATACCAAAGCCTGGCAGAGACACAACAAAAAAAGAATTTTGACCAATATCCTTGATGAACATTGATGCAAAAATCCTCAATAAAATACTGGCAAACTGAATCCAGCAGCACATCAAAAAGCTTATCCACCATGATCAAGTGGGCTTCATCCCTGGGATGCAAGGCTGGTTCAACATACGCAAATCAATAAATGTAATTCTGCATTTAAACAGAACCAAAGACAAAAACCACATGATTATCTCAATAGATGCAGAGAAGGCCTTTGACAAAATTCAACAATGCTTCATGCTAAAAACTCTCAATAAATTAGGTATTGATGGGACGTATCTCAAAATAATAAGAGCTATCTATGACAAACCCACAGCCAATATCATACTGAATGGGCAAAAACTGGAAGCATTCCCTTTGAAAACTGGCACAAGACAGGGATGCCCTCTCTCACCACTCCTATTCAACATAGTGTTGGAAGTTCTGGCCAGGGCACTCAGGCAGGGGAAGGAAATAAAGGGTATTCAATTAGGAAAAGAGGAAGTCAAATTGTCCCTGTTTGCAGATGACATGATTGTATATCTAGAAAACCCCATCGTCTCAGCCCAAAATCTCCTCAAGCTGATAAGCAACTTCAGCAAAGTCTCAGGATACAAAATCAATGTGCAAAACTCACAAGCATTCTTATACACCATTAACAGACAAACAGAGAGCCAAATCATGAGTGAACTCCCATTCACAACTGCTTCAAAGAGAATAAAATACCTAGGAATCCAACTTACAAGGGATGTCAAGGACCTCTTCAAGGAGAACTACAAACCACTGCTCAATGAAATAAAAGAGGATACAAACAAATGGAAGAACATTCCATGCTCATGGGTAGGAAGAATCAATATTGTGAAAATGGCCATACTGCCCAAGGTAATTTATAGATTCAATGCCATCCCCATCAAGCTACCAATGACTTTCTTCACAGAATTGGAAAAAACTACTTTACAGTTCATGTGGAACCAAAAAAGAGCCCACTTCGCCAAGTCAATCCTAAGCCAAAAGAACAAAGCTGGAGGCATCATGCTACCTGACTTCAAACTATACCACAAGGCTACAGTAACCAAAACAGCATGGTACTGGTACCAAAACAGAGATATAGACCAATGGAACAGAACAGAGCCCTCAGAAATAATACCACACATCAACAACTATCTGATCTTTGACAAATCTGACAAAAACAAGCAATGGGGAAAGGATTCCCTATTTAATAAATGGTGCTGGGAAAACTGGCTAGCCATATGTAGAAAGCTGAAACTGGATCCCTTCCTTACACCTTATACAAAAATTAATTCAAGATGGATTAAAGACTTAAATGTTAGATCTAAAACCACAAAAACCCTAGAAGAAAACCTAGGCAATATCATTCAGGACATAAGCATGGGCAAGGACTTCATGTCTAAAACACCAAAAGCAATGGCAACAAAAGCCAAAATTGACAAATGGGATCTAATTAAACTAAAGAACTTCTGCACAGCAAAAGAAACTACCATCAGAGTGAACAGGCAACCTACAGAATGGGAGAAAATTTTTGCAACCTACTCATCTGACAAAGGGCTGATATCCAGAATCTACAATGAACTCAAACAAATTTACAAGAAAAAAACAACCTCATCAAAAAGTGGGCAAAGGATCTGAACAGACACTTCTCAAAAGAAGACATTTATGCAGCCAAAAAACACATGAAAAAATGCTCATCATCACTGGCCATCAGAGAAATGCAAATCAAAACCACAATGAGATACCATCTCACACCAGTTAGAATGGCGGTCATTAAAAAGTCAGGAAATAACAGGTGTTGGAGAGGATGTGGAGAAATAGGAACACTTTTACACTGTTGGTGGGACTGTAAACTAGTTCAACCATTGTGGAAGTCAGTGTGGTGATTCCTCACGGATCTAGAACTAGAAATACCATTTGACCCAGCCATCCCATTACTGGGTATATACCCAAAGGATTATAAATCATGCTGCTATAAAGACACATGCACACGTGTGTTTATTGCGTCACTATTCACAATAGCAAATACTTGGAACCAACGTAAATGTCCAACAACAATAGACTGGATGAAGAAAATGTGGCACATATACATCATGGAATGCTATGCAGCCATAAAAAATGATGAGTTCATGTCCTTTGTAGGGACATGGATGAAACTGGATACCATCATTCTTGGCAAACTATCGCAAGGACAAAAAACCAAACACCACATGTTCTCACTCATAGGTGGGAATTGAACAGTGAGAACACATGGACACAGGAAGGGGAACATCACACACCGGGGACTGTTGTGGGGTCGGTGGAGGGGGGAGGGATAGCATTAGGAGATATACCTAATGCTAAATGACGAGTTAATGGGTGCAGCACACCAACATGGCACACGTATACATATGTAACAAACCTGCACGTTGTGCACATGTACCCTAAAACTTAAAGTATAATAATAATAATAATTTTTTTAAAAAGTGAAAAAAATAAAAAATAAAACAAATTAGGACTTTTAGTGAGTTGGGGAAGCATATGATAGATTTTCTTTTATTTTCAGACTTTTAAATATATATGCTATTCATTTTAACCAGACTAACACTGTGTGTGTGTGTGTGTGTGTTTGTGTGTGTCTGTGTCACTGACTGTGCAAGCCCTAATTTGAAAAATGAGTGTAGAGAGAGAAAGATAAAAATGGTATAACCTTCTCTTTTTAATGAACTTACAGTCAAATAGGGGAAGACATGGAAAGAGAGAATACAAGTGTTAATTCTAATGCAAAACAGACAGTCCTTGTGTTTTAACTTTTGGAAAAAAAGTTAATATGACATTAGAGAGTATGAGATCTGGGGCCAAGTGGAGGCTCTTAGGAAGGGTGATGTGAGGGCTCCATATAATTAGCTTAAGAGAACTTAAAGAATGATCCCCATCTTAGAGGAAGCAGAGGAATAGAAGTAGACTATAGAACCATAAAGTGTGGAGAGGGGAGGGTGGAGGGGAAGAGGTTTAAGTTACATAAAAGAAGGTAAATTTCTCTCTGTTACCAAATTGGGGGAAAAGGACTAGATGGAATTTTATAAAATGTGTAGAATACATTTGAGATACTCACAATATATTAGTTTCATAGCCTATATAAAATTCACTTTGGGCAACCTGTGGTCACCCAAAAGAGATAGGCAGTCATCCTTCAGACAGCCAAAACTGAGATACATTGAAAAGGCAACGTGGCTACCACTCTGGAGAGACATGACATCAGTAGTAATCACCATGGTCAGAGAAAAGCAGCAGTGGTTTTAAATATGACTCCAAATAAAATGTCACAAGGACAAAGCCTCTGAACTTGGCTGCTTCTCTTTGTAGTGTGCTCTGTAGTGTGTGGCAACAGAGATTCACTTATTTAACAAATGATTAATGATTTTTGCAAGCAACCTAGCAGACAGGTAGTAGAAAGTAAAATTGGAAGATAAGTTAGTGTCAAGTCATGAAAGCCTTTTTAGTGTTTAGTGCCAAACAACTTTTCTAAAAGACAAAGCATATTAAAGCTTAAAAACTATTACTTAAAATTATGTTTGGACTATGTCCAAAAAAGAGCTCTTATAAGAATATGCAAAACAGAATATTTTACAATTGTAGATTACAGTTTCTTTTAGAGATAAGCAGCTGAAGATAATTTTAGAACATCCTCCAATTGTTTCCTTTTTCTGCAATGGGCAGATTCGTAGTTATGTTCCCTCACAGTAGTGGTTAATGTTATTAAGTCTTCCTCTTATACATTTAAACAGGTTGCTCTAACAGCACAGTAAACCAAGATCTTTTTTTTTTTTTTTTTTTGAGATGGAATCTCATTCTGTTGCCCAAGCTGGAATGCAGTGGTGCAACCTCAGCTCACTGCAACCTCCGCCTCTCAGGTTCACGCTATTTTCCTGCCTCAGCTTCCCCAGTAGCTGGGACTACAGGCGCACGCCACTATGCCCAGCTAATTTTTGTATTTTTAGTAGAGACGGGGTTTCACCATGTTGACCAGGCTGGTCTTGAACTCCTGACCTCAGGTGATCTGCCCACCCCAGCCTCCCAAAGTGCTGGGATTACAGGCGTGAGCCACCACACCTGGTCGTAAACCAAGGTCTTATAGCATAGATTTCTACTTGACATTTACTTTACTAAACACTAAACTATGACTATTATTGGTGTCTTTTTCCCCCATATATCTGACTGTCTCTTCTACCTTAAGTGAGCTTACATTATAATATGACAGAAAAGGCTAGTAGACATGAAACAAAATTGTGCAGAGGCCAGGTGCAGTGGCTCACACCTGTAACCACAGCACTTTGGGAGGCCAAGGTGTGAGGATCACTTGAGGCCAGGAGTTCAAGACCAGCCTGGTGGACATAGCAAGACCCCATCTGTATCAAATAAAGTAAAATTTTGCAGAATAGTCTGTGATTATAGCTCAGCAAGTTAAGGTGTTTAGGTCTAGAATGAGGACAGTGCTAGGATGTGGCCAAACTTTGAAGTATGATATAATTAAGTTCATTAGTATAAGGCTAAAAGAGGAAGATCTTCCTGATAAGAAAATCATAAGTCAAAGCAAGGAGGTATGAATGCCAGTTGCATATCTAGAAACAGTATAGAATCTGGCCTGAGAGAAGAAAGTTTGTACTGGGGAAAATAACTGAGATGGGGATGACTTATGGAATGCCTTGAAAGCCATAGACGATGTAGAGAAACACTTTAGGTTCTGTGTGATATGCTAAAAAACAGCATTTAGTAAACATTACTGTGGAAGAAATGCACAGGACATATTCATGGAGGCAGAGAAAAGTCAGGGATGCAGTTATCTTAAGTGTGAGTTTATGAAAGCATCAGAAAACTCTAGTAAAAGTGGGGAAGGAAAGAGACACGTAAAAGTCCCTTTCAACAGGTAACAAAATTTGGACACAGATTAGTTATAGAGAGTACGGAAAAACTGATTAAAGATGCAGCTGTTATATATGGCCCTATACAGTCACACTGACTTTTCTAAATGATATTTCCCCCAGCAACTTGGACCTTAAGTCTTTTACACATATTCATACAACTGTTACTCCAAATTACTTCCTCTGTCAGTGATTTCTAATTTTAACCAATGATCTTTAAAACATCGATTATTTAACTTCTATGTATACTATATCATTGGAATTTAAAGGCTTTTCCTTGTATTTAAACTAAGTCTCTGTGGAGTATAGGTAAAAAGAAAGGAATTGTGGGAGAAAAGGAGCAGGGAGAAATACTGAAAAAAATAAATACATAAATATAACCACATAGATAGTAATTCCTGTAACTAGAAAATAAAACTAAATAAAACTAAATAGATGCATTTCTTGAACATGCTCAGAGCCATTTAAGCAGCTTTATTCCCTGTCAGCATCTCTGAACCTTTATGACATTTTTTTTTTTTTTTTTGAGACGGAGTCTCGCTCTGTCGCCCAGGCTGGAGTGCAGTGGCGTGATCTCGGCTCACTGCAAGCTCCGCCTCCCAGGTTCACGCCATTCTCCTGCCTCAGCCTCCTGAGTAGCTGGGACTACAGGTGCCCACCACCGTGCCCAGCTAATTTTTTTTTTTTTTGTATTTTTTACTAGAGACGGGGTTTCACCGTGTTAGCCAGGATGGTCTCAATCTTCTGACCTTGTGATCTGCCTGCCTCGGCCTCCCAAAGTGCTGGGACTATAGGTGTGAGCCACCACGCCCGGCCAACTTTTATAATACTGATAGAAGTATTTCCTGGAAGCATATGGTTTGCTTGGTAGTTATTCTTCCAACTTTGTTGCTGGCAGAATATCACCCCAAGGAAGGGAGTACAGATTGGTAATGGAAATCAGCCTCAGTGTGGGTAGCATAGCTCTCAAGAGTTGTGGTGAGGCTTTTTCTAAACTCTGGAGAAACTTCTTGAGGTTTTTCAGAACAATGAAGCTTTCAGGAAAAGTAACTACTTTCTTTTTAGTACATGATTACCTCATTCACAGTAAAAACCATCTCTCTTCCCTGTCACGGTGGTCTTTCCCTCAGGCTACCTGGGATGCAGTCAAAGGTTGTCAGAGTCCTTGATTGTCTTGCCTGAAGTTACAACCTGACCTAGATGGATGTGACATGTTGTCCTTGTACTGTTGCTCAGTTTACTTCCATAGATGTTTTCTTCCATAAAAAGTGTTGTGTTTTTAATTGTTTTTGGTTTTTTTTACATGTTCTCCTGCCTACCCAATTCCTCAGAGCCCTGAAACAGTAAGAAATGTGGAATTTCTGATTTCTCCTTCCAGCCAGAATATCTTCCTGATAGTGTGTTTCTTACAGGGCTCATTTAAATGTCTTCTGTGGTGAAATTCAGGCTTTTGTTGTTATTCCCTGTGATCTCCCTAACTGTTCAGCTCCATGTCCAGGCTTAGTTCACTGTATTCTATTCATGATTCACCTTTCCCTTCTCCAGCCTATAGGCAGACATGCATTTAACTGAAATGTGCAGAAGAAACATTCCTTTTCTTAACCTCCACAGAAGAGAATTCTTCAGGCTCCAGTATTTAACACCTCATTTTCAGTATCTTTGCATATAGACTATAAAATGTTAAAGTCTGAAAGAACCTAGGATATCACCAAGTCCTAAACTTATTTCATGTGTGAGAGGATTAAGTCCTAGAGAAGTACATACAATACACATTCTAAACCTTCTCTCAACTCAAATTAATATGTGTGTTTTAAATGATGACTTTCTAACAAGTTCACTGGTAGAAATTGGCCTTGGCACCAATTTGTAAAGCTGACTATGGCCGTATCCAAGAACAAAGCCTAAAGTTCTTTTAAGGGCTTAATTTATTTCATGCATCAAGCCTCTACATATGTCCAGCACTTTTCCAACTTAAAAACTAATTTCAAACGATACATACAATCTTCTTTCGAGCCCTCATCAACCATGTGTCCTCTCCCAACTCTACTTTCTGAAAAATGTGGGAGAGGAAGAAGGAACCAAAACTTTACTGTCAGACAAGAGATACACAGGAAACACAGTTGCCATTAGTACCATATAGGGTGAAAAAATGGCTTCATCCCTTTCAGAAAGGCTGAACTGGGAAGATGAGGAAAAAAACAGCATACTCAGAGTTTGACATTGAATAGACACTCAACAAATATTTTTTGAATGAATGAAATGAGGTGAATCAATGAACCATGGACCTGAGGCTCTATCTCAAGCATACCCTCTTTTCTGAACCCCAACAACTTGGACATCACCATTTGATGATTCCAAAGAAACTTAAACATGTCTAAAACTTAATTAATCGCCTTTTCACCCATCTCCTACTCTAATGTTCCCTGTCTCAATGCCTGGTACCTAAAAATGCCAACCACATAAGCTACTAACCTAGAAGTCATCCTCTCATTGACTCCTCACCTCCAGTCTAACAAGTCCTGTCAATGCTACCCTTTACAATATGCCAGATCTATCAAAAATCTTCCCCACAAAAAAGGTACAAAATCTACATAACTTTATTACAACTTCATGTAATCCCTCTTGTAAAAGCTGTGTAAGAAAACTGAGGGAAAAAAAGCTATTCAACTAATTTTATTAAAGTAGTATTATCAAAACTAGATAGGGATAATACGGGAAAAGGAAACTGTTCATCAGTCTCACTATTGCAGATAGAAAAAAAATTCTAAATAGAACAGTGTCAGGTGGAATTTGGCAGTTTATTCACACACACACTCACACACACTGCTACTATTGCTACTACTAGATAAGATTTCTCACAAAAACAGGAATGATTCAACATCACAATGTAGAAATGTACTTGATATAACTTAGCACTTGTTCTTAGTAATTTTAAAAAACAAATTTCCTAGGAAACAGCATAGAAGAAAAGTTCCTATCCTGATAAAGGGTCACCATCAGGGACAAAGAAAATATATTTTTCTTAGTCACCATCAGGAACAAAGAGAATATATTTTTCTTAATGATAAATTTTTGGAAATATTTCTACTAAAGTCAGGAGTAAGAATGTCCACTCTCTCAGGGTCTATTTTGCATTGTTACTAGAGATGCTAACCATTTTAATAACTCCCTAATGGGAAAGAAGCAAGTATTATAAAAACTGGAAGGCCGGGTGCGGTGGCTCACGTCTGTAATCCCAGCACTTTGGGAGGCCGAGGCGGACGGATCACGAGGTCAGGAGATCGAGACCATCCTGGCTAACACGGTGAAACCCCGTCTCTACTAAAAATACAAAAAATTAGCCGGGCATGGTGGTGGGCGCCTGTAGTCCCAGCTACTCGGGAGGCTGAGGCAGGAGAATGGCATGAACCCGGGGGGCGGAGCTTGCAGTGAGCTGGGATCGCGCCACTGAACTCCAGCCTGGACGACAGAGTGAGACTCCATCTCAAAAAAAAAAAAAAAAAAAGAACTGGAAAGAACAATACCAAACTGTCCATATCTATAGCCAAGAGAATCTGCAAACAGAATTCAACAAGGTTGCCAGATTCAGGACCTGAGACCTAGGACTTGGTATTCCTATAACTAACCTTACTTAGCCTGTCTATATTACGGTTTACTCATCTGTATAAGGGTCATCGAGAAGATTAACCAATGTAAAGTACCTGGTGCGTTGCAAGTGCATAAGTATGAGCTATTACTAGCACCATTGAATTAATACACTACATTTAGCAGTCTTACTATACCTAACTAGAAAATATAATAATAATAGCTAATGATTATTTATCAACTCATGTCGTCTGCTTACCAAAAGAGATCTGCATTAGCTTTCCAAATCACTCTGTAGAAAAGCTGAAGTCTTTCAAGTGACTTACAAGACTTATGTGATTTTGCCCTCTACTTTATGTCTTTCTTCATCTCCTGTTTACTTACTTATCTTCAGATGTGCTGGCCTCCTCACTATTCCTGGATTCACCCAGCAAACTACCTCCTCAGGGCCTTGATATTGCTATTCCCTCTGCCTAGGACAATGCAAATTAAAATAACAACTATCATGTCATACCCATCAAATTGGTATATTTTCTAAAGCCTGGGAGTCAAGTAAGTTGGCAAAGAAGTAAGAGAAACAGGAACTTTCATACTCTACTGATGGTTGTGTAAATTGTTACAACTGCTTCTCAGAAAAAGTTGGCAATAACTTGTAATATGGATACCGTGGATGTTTTTTGACCAGGAAATTCCACTTGTGGATATACACTCTAGAACAACTTCAGCACATAAATAAGAAGAAAAGTAAAAGAATGTTGAATATAGCATTTTTTGTGAAACAGAAAAATATGAGATAAGTTACAAAATGATACATGCATTATGATTGCATTTGTATGAAATTTATTAAATTTTAAACATGTAAAATAACATTATTCATTATTTATGTATATACATATATCTAGTAGTGATTCAAAATTGTCCATGAGAAAAATAGATGTCAAATTTACTTCAGTGCTTACCTCTAGAGAGGTATGGAGTAGTGGAGAGATACACAGGAATCTTCACTATTCTTTTATTCTGAAGCAAGTGTGACCAAATGTTAGAAGGCAATAAAGTTTAGTGATGAGTACATGGGTGCTTTAATTAATGTTATTTTCTGAGTTTTCTATATGTTTGAAGTATTTCTACGTAAATACACACATGCCCCAAATCTAGCCACTTCTTACCACCTCTGCTGCTATAATTGTGAGCCTAATCCCCATCATATCTTGCTATCATCCACTTCTCACAAAGGCTGCTACAGTAGCCTCCTAAATTGTCTACCCACACTTGTTTGCCATACACCATTCAAAGTAATCCTTTATCATGAAGTAAATCAGATTATGCTACTCCCCCGCTCAGAACACGCCAGTGGCTTCTCATTAAAATCCGTACTATTTACTCTGACTTACAAAGCTCCTGTCTACTCTCACAACTCATTCCCTAGCACTTTCCCCCTAGCCCACCGAGCTGCAACCACCTTCATCATCTTGCTGTTGCTTGCCAACCATGTTCTTACTTCAGTGACTTGCACCTACTGTACCCTATAGTACAGTAATACTAGTACAACTAGTATTCCTTGCATTGTTCCCTACTTCACTTTTTTTAAGTCTGCTTGAATGACCTTCTCAGAAAGGCTTTCCCTGACCAACCTATCTTTAAAATATCCTCTCCCCAGGCTGGGCATGCTGGCTCATGCCTGTAATCCCAGCACTTTGGGAGGCCGAGGTGGGTGGATCACCTGATGTCAGGAGTTCGAGACCAGCCCAGCCAACATGGTGAAACCCTATCTCTACTAAAAAATACAAAAATTAGCTGGGCATGGTGGCGGGCACCTGTAATCCCAGCTACTCAGGAGGGTGAGGCAGGAGAATCGCTTGAACCCAGGAGGCGGAGGTTGCAGTGAGCCAAGATCACGCCATTATACTTCAGCCTGGGTGACAGAGCAAGACTCTATGTCAAAAATAAATCCTCTCCCTGGCCTAAAGCAATGACACCCCCATAACAATGGCATTCTAGTGCCAGTTCTTGCTCTCTGAGCTCAGTTTTCCAGTAAAAGAAACCAGGGCTTCAGGAAGAAGTGTTTGATTGCTGGATTCCAGGCCCAAAGGAGGGAAAATATAAAACAAGACTGAACATCATGTGCCAAAAAGTAAGGAAACATTTAAAGAAAGATGGATGGGGACATGTCAGAAAACCCACAGGAGCCAGCCTGAAATAGCTCCTAATGACCAAAGATAAAACAATTTGAGCAAGAAAATAGTATTGTTTTTTAGCCCCTAAAATAAAATAAATATCTATGAGTTCATACTATTGTAATAAATAAATTAATGAATTAGTAAATCTAGAAGGAAAGAGGGAAATAGAGAATTGCTATTAGGCAGATAACACAGTAATAAATGTTGCAGACAAGATTCCTCAAAGGATGCAAAAATTAATGGGTAGAAATTTGAGCAAGGTACTTACAAAGTATAAGGTAAAACTTTATATTACAGAAACCTGACAGACACCAACTTGACAAAATAGTCAAGGTAAACAGCACCAGTATATAAGACATATCAGCATCATGAACCCCTTGGTAAAATGCGCTGAGAAGCAGACATTATTTTTTTAGCAGTCTTGCCAAAAATGCATAATTTCTATCATGAAAAAACTTCAGACAAACCCATATTGAGGAACATTCTATAAAATAACTGATCAGTACTCTTTAGAGGTATCAAAGTCATACATAAAAGATGAGGAAAAATTGAGGAATTGTTATAGACTAGAGGAGACTGTGGAGATATAGCAACTGAATGCAAGTGGGATCCTGGAATTACAAAAAAAAAAAAAAAAAAGAATATTAGTGGACCTGGACCTGGTACCTAAAATAATACCTGTAGCTTAGTAATTACTTATCAAATTGGTATGTCTGTCCATCCATTCATCCATCCATCTTTGATACCTCCCTTTTTCTCATGCTTCACATCCAATTTCTCACCAAATCTTCATTTAACACCTGGTTCCTTGTGGAGAGAGACTAGGAGACAAATGATATCAGCAACACCACAACAACTTTTTGGTAGATCCTCTGAATTTTCCTACATATCCGGGATAAGATTTTATTTTGAAGGAGTAAATATTGAAAGGTTTGGGAAATTTATTTAAAAGAATCACAGAAGTGATCACAAATAGAAGTAACAAAGCCTCTGGCTTTGCCTGTTTTGGGGGATGGGAGCTCATCTTCACTTGCCTGGATTGCTGTACTGGCCTCCTAATTGGTCTCCCTGCTTCCAGTGTTGCCCAGCCTGTTATTCCCACACAAGAATGATGTCCTTATAGCCAGAGAAGTATTTTCAGGAGGAAAATCTAATCATGCCACTTTCCATGACTAAAAGCCTTCATTGATTCACCACTGCCTTCAGAATGGAAGCCCTACAGATTCTGCCTCTGCCTACTTCTCCATCCTTATCTTTTACTATTTCTGGCACAAACCATAATCACCATTCATACCAAACAACCCACACTTTTACCCCTCTTTGGCTTTGCATTTGCTGTTTTTCTTCTTCTCCTAGGACTCTAATTTCCCATCTAACTCTAACTTGCCTTTTAAATTTGACTGGAGCAGTACCTTCTCCTCAAAGCCTTTCCTTGTCTGTTAAAGTCTCTCTTTAAGTGTACTTTCAGCTCCTTTGCAGCACCTTCTTAAGGACAAGGATTACTTGAATCTCCAGCTAGCTTGTTGCCTTGTACATGGTGGTGCTCAATAAACATTGGTTGAGAAAGAAAAGGAAGAAAGGAAAAAAGGAGAGGACAGGGAGGTTTTAAAGTTATGTAAGTATTAAGCAAAAAAAGTTTTCCCTGCTTTTCTCCTTCTCTACTTTGATTTCAGGCTCTTGCATATTTGTGTAATTTATTTTACCTGATTATCTGCTTATCCTTTGACATAGATGAAACATAAATATCCATTAACTGAAAGAGATTTAGAAAGCTGTCCACTGCGGCATAAACGATGGCTGATAACAATGGTATTGAGCCAGATTAAGAGTATGAAGTGCATGTTTCATTGTAACCATCAGAGAATCTGATATAATGTCTAGATTTTTAACTTCTTCGCCATCTTTAAACTTGACAATGCCAGTTTTTTGAAAAAATCATACTGAAATATAGAACTATCACCAAAAACTGTGTTTTAAAACAACATGTGCCATCTTAAGGAATGCAAGAAAATCAAAATATGCCTTCTACTTACTTCATTTGTTTCCTCTGTATTTGTAATTACTGATGAGTTTACTTGGTATTTATTTGCTATACCCAGACTATGGAAAACCATGGAAGGGGTTAAATAAATTAGCCCCTGGGTTTTGAGTCTACCTAAGGAAAAACAAATTTCTAAGGGAAAGCAGGGGAAGTATAAAGTTAGTGGAAGGGGAAAGATCCCAGTTACATTTTTACCTCATTGAATTCTTTCCAAATCAGACTACAGATTTTTTTTTTTTGCATCTACCATGCCAAGCATGATATTTTTAGCAACAGTAGTACAAAGCAAGCAGCCTGTCGTTTGGGAGCTGACAAATAAGCACACTGTTCCTCTTAAACACAATATGCTCCACATCTTTATCTCCACTCATCCTTACAGAAGCTCTTCAGCTTGCCGTGTTTCTTTAAGGAAATGACAAGGAGCACTGGTTAATAAGCTCTTGGGGTTATTCAATATCCCTCTTCAATGCTCATTTTCTGAAGTTGAAAACACTTATGCATGTGCTCACATGCACACTAAACTTTGTCAGAGATGAAGTACTTCCAAATGGTACTTGAATGTGATTAAGAGAACCCTGGGCCTGATAGGACTCATTACACAACACGCCAGATGTAACAGTTTGCTCAAATTTTGGTTCTAAGAAAAGGAAACATCTTGGTAAAAAATGGCTCATAGAAGTGGAGGTAATAGTTTATTGTATTTCTATATAAATGTGTGCTCAATACATCATTTTAAAAGAAATGTAACAGACTTTCTTCTTACAAAATATACTTAACATTGGAATAGTGTCTGTCATTTCTTTGGCATTAGACAAAGAAATCAAAGTCTGTTTGACTTACTGCCATGAGTTTCTGGTCTAGAGTTATCTATTTTTCCTCCCTGATCATTATAATTTTCTAAAACAATTCAGGACTATATTAAACAATTTTATACTTAATGTCATTGGTGAATTTTATGTTTATTTTCAAGTCAAACAATGATTAATAATGTTATTTTACAATGTGGTTCTACAGATCTTTCAACACAGCTTAAAGTTACTGAATTCAGTTTTCAACTTCTAATTTCAGAGCGTATTAACAACCATCCCATGGTTGAATTTCCTACCACTAGGTAAATTCCTCGAGGATTTTTTATATTATCTCAGCCTTTAATTTGTGGGTCACACTCATGTTCGTTCTTTATCATTCCAGAAATGGAATCTGTTTGAGTTGTATAGCAATATAGTGAAGAAATTAGAAATTAATGGTTGTTGAAATCAAATAGATAGACTTATAGGAACTTGATTGTTAAGCCCAAGGTTTTATAGATGATAATTGCCCTGTGTTTCAACTGGACTAGACTATTATGACCATGGACGTTGTCAACCTAGAAAATTCTCTGCTTTTGCATTTTTTGCCCAACCCAAGTTTTGTCAGATAGTATATGTCACAATATATTGTACAAGACCTCACCTCACACTAAAACATTTTATATGAAATAAATTCTGTTGTTAATGATATGTTGACAAAGAGGGTGGAACTTTTTTTTTTTTTTTTGAGATGGTCTCACTCTGTTGCCCAGGCTTGAGTACAGTGGTGCAGTCACAGCTCACAGCAAACTCCACCTTCCAGGTTCAAGCAGTTCTCCCACCTCAGCCTCCCAAATAAGCTGAGACTACAAGTGCACACCACCACACTCAGCTAATTTTTGTATTTTTTGTAGAGACAAGGTCTCACCATGTTGCCCAAGCTGGTCTCGAAATCCTAACCTAAGTGAGCCACCACACCCAGCCAGAAGTTTTTAATAGAAAATTTTTAAAACGTTTAATGATCTTAACAAGCTCATGTCATATTATGTAATATATCTAGTTGTTTTCTTATTGGTAGATATACGTTTGTGACTTACTTTCTTCCATCATTCTGTTCTGTGAAAATTAACAAAATTGCTTAATATGTTTTTATTTAAATGACTACACATGCTGAGAATTAATCTTATATTCTGTTACCTATACAACAAATAGCAAAAAGAAGTTTTGCTTGGTGTACCCACATAATGCGTTAATCATCCTCCAAAGTAATTAATTTACAAATCAAGAAGTTCTTTCCCACACATATTTCCTTCTAGTAGAAAAGCAAAATTAGAGAATATATTAAGTTTTGAGTTTTTTCCTTTGTCCTTAGGTGCCTTAAATGCCTATGTATAATTCTACAAGAATCCACTGCTTAAAAATAATTGATTTTATCCTGAATGACTGGAGCACCTATGCTAACATTAGCCATACCTTATTAGGGTAAGGAAAATATATCATTCATGGATATGCAAACTATCCTTTCTTTTTAAAGGGAGATTTGTCCTAAAAGGTGTCTGAAGTAAGAATTCACTTTCCTTTTCCCAAGCTCCCAAAAACATAATTTCACTAACTGTGTAATATGCATCTTCTCATAAACCTCCACAAAGTACAAAACAGCCTGTTGCTTACTTTTTATTAAGGCTTATTTTCACACACTAATAGCATTGTTTTTCATGTAATATGCCCTACCTCGTTTAAGTGTTTTCTTTTCTTTTTCTTTTTTCTTTTTTCTTTTTTTTTTTTTGAGACGGAGTCTCGCTCTGTCACCCAGGCTGGAGTGCAGTGGCACGGGCTTGGCTCACTGCAACCTCCGCCTCTTGGGTTCAAGGGATTCTTGTGCCTCAGCCTCCCGAGTAGCTGGGATTACAGGTATATGCCACGACACACAGCTAATTTTTGTATTTTTAGCAGAGACAGGGTTTCACTTGGCCAGGGTAGTCTTGAACTCCTGACCTCAAGTAATCCACCTGCCTCGCCTTCCCAAAGTGCTGGGATTACAGGCTATGAGCCACTATGGTCGGTCAGTGTTTTCTGATTACCAGCTTGAATAGTTTGTATTCATCAGCTTCAGTGCTTTATTAAGTGATCTGAGATATTGATGAGCCTGACTACCATAAAGATATATACTTTTATGTCCACCTTTGGGATGGACTCTATATCACATAAACTCCCAACAAATTACATACCAACTTCTCCTCCAGTGCTAGGGAAAGAGAAGCTTACCTTAGCTACATGGACACTAGAAAAACTGAAGTTTTGACTAAGCAGTATCTCATTTATTTGGCCTGCTGTTTCCTAATGGCACAACTTTGAAACATGTCACCACGTTAAATCTAATCTAGGCTCAAAAACTCCTATTTCTTCTTTCCTGTGGATTTCATAATATTTCCAGAATGCCTCTAGTCCTTGAAAGAAATTACTCTAAACCCCAGCTTAACAGGTTGAAATATATCTTGCCATCCTGATTTTATCTTTCTTGCTTTGGCAAGTTCTTTTCCTTAAGTAGAAATATGCATCAGTTTAAGTATGCTAGATTTTTTTAAATGTATTATAAAAACATTAGAAGACGATATTTGTATTTCAAAAGATCTTTTAACTTTACACAAGATTCCTAATAGGTCCCACTTAAGTATAAGTTAAATAGCATATTTCACTTCATGTCAATTTAATTTAGATATAACTTTTTAGAAATAATACTTCCTGTAACTGTACTTAGATGACTTCCTTAGATATTCCAGATGATTCTAAGGGAAAATTAAATGCAAATTATTATGACATATTATTTAACCCTATTACGTTATGATTATAATAGCAGAGACCAGTCATCTTTTTACCAGAATGTTGTATGTTTCTGAGTGATCAGATGCATTGCTTTCTCAATCCAAAAATAACATGTACTAATAATTCACTGCTATTTCAAAAAGTTAGGCTTAGGATGTTCCCAATAACTATACATCCCCAAGAGTAAGGAACTATGGGGCTTAAATTTATTTTGAGTATTTTATGAATCTTTAGCTCTCTTAGGAATTAAACTATATGCTGTGTTCTATAGTTAAGTTAGGTATCGGCTTTTTCAGAAATTTTATCAACTCAATGGCAAGGCTGTTCGCGGTGGCTCACGCCTGTAATCCCACCACTTTGGAGGCCAAGGCAGGGGGATCGCTTCGGCAACATGGCAAGACCCTGTCTCTACAAAAAATTTCAAAAATTAGCTGGGCATGGTGGCACACACTTGTGGTCCCAGCTACTCAGGAGGCTGAGGTGGGAGGATCACTTGAACCCAGGAGGTGGAGGCTGCAGTGAGCCATGATTGCACGACTACACTCCAGCCTGAGCAACAGAGCAAGGCCCTGTCTCAAAAAAAAAAAAAAGCCATTCAGATGCTGTTTAGAGTGATAAAACAATTACTCATTTTTTAACTATACCCAAGATTGAACTTTAATATTTTAAGTTGGAGGAATGGAAATGGAAGGAGTCAATATACTTTTTCACCAGAATAGAATTTCAACCTGTTACATATATACCAGTAAGTATATAAAATCTCTGTAAAGATGGACATTTATGAAACCAAAAAAAGATTTGAATTTAAAAATGTACCTTCTAATAGCATGGGCAATAAAGGATAGGGACAGTGGGGAGATATGCTAATAGGAAGATATATTAAAGAAAATTGAAATGAGAACATAAGTTCATTAGAAAGATATTAGGGCAAATGATTTATTAAGCTAAACAAATAAGAAGGAGTATCTTAGTAAATAAGGACAGTTGGCATGTATGTAGGTGTGGTCTTGGGACTTTGCCACCCAGACCAGGGATTTGGGCTGTGGGGAAGGATGATGACCATCTGCTCCAAGTGACTCCTACTGGCTGATACACAGAGCTCAGTTGGCATCAGTCTCAGAAGAGACTGCCAGCCTCCCAATCAGAAAATAAGCAAAACAATGGCATTGCTGTCAAGCACAGAAATGAAGTTTAAGATTTAAGTAATAAGTGGCGACTCAGAAAGGGTCAGAAACCTTAGAGTGTAATCCAGACAGATATAAGTTGGCTTGATTGTGAAATGGACCATCCTGACAGTTAATGGAGGATACTTGAAAAGCTAGGCAGAAATGATCTACAGTGACCATGGTAAGCAGACTGAAACTATTACAGCTCACGAGATATTTAGCACAACCTTTAACATCTAAACCAGACACAAAGACAATATAACACTACAAAACAGAAAAAAACTTGACCTATGCACAAATTAGATTATATGAAAATAATGTAAATATCACTGAGATTGAGGCAAAGTAGTAAAAAGATAACTTTTGCCTACCTTCTTGTCTTCACAACAAAGTTTATTTAAATGATTTTTTCCTTAACAGCCTTCAAAAGCAGGACCAGTGAACTTTTTATTACCTTACAGAAATCTACATTTTATTCGAAAGAACTTGAAATTAAATGATAGAGTTTAAAAAATGTAAATTTTTAAATTTTTAAAAAATAACCTTTAGACTTCAAAAATACTTATTAAAATAAAGACTTTCTACAATAAGAATCTTTTCACTTTCTCTTTTTAAGTCAGAAGTAATTTTGGTTTTATATTTTGCATTTTGATAGACAAATGTATGTTCTTCCTGTAGATTACAGTCATTTTTAAGTATATTTAGCTATGATTATTTACAGCTCATGTATCATATGTATGATTAATTTTAAATAATTAACTAGAAGGCATTCTTAGCTAAAATATAGATTTTTTTATATATTAATTTGCCATATAGTTTATTCAGCTCTAATTTCTTATGTCTTAAGATATATTTTTTAAACAGCTATTTAGCTCTAAAAGTACTTCAGATAAGTGTGCTTATTGGAATTTTTTATAGAAAAATAATTTTTTTCAGTGTGCAATATAATATAAATAATGATCAACCTGATACAGATTTTATACCTTGAATATTATATATAGGAAAGTATTAAATATAGAAATGAGCAGTTTTCCCTATAGCTATTTATGGGCTATTATTGAATAAAAACAAAAGTACTTTAAATAATAACAAAAGATAAGTAAGCTCAGATGTAAACTTTTCTACTCAAGATTTGGCTTCTTTAAATGCAATTCTGTATAATGAGCAAAAAAAAAAAGCATATCATTTAAATTAGATGACCATTTTAAAATTAACATGTCACTGTTAAAATATCTGTGATGAAAAACAAATATCCTTTAAGGATAGCCATTGAAAATATGCATTCTTAAAAATATCCAAATATAAGCCCTTTCCTGTCGCTTGATTTGTTGCAAATATTTAGGATAGATGAGTTCACTGTGCTTTTAAAAAGATACACAATTGAGAAAGAAAATGAGATGTTAGCTTTTTCCCCCTCTAATCCTTCTCCATCCCTTCAAAATTACTGTTGACTAACAAGTTGTGTCTCTTTTCTCTGAGGCAGTGGGTGCAAGACAACTACTTGAGACAAGAGAGGAACATTTATCCTCCAGGCTTCTCATACTTACTCAAGCAGAAAGACTCTGCATGGGGAGAAGGTTCTTTACAGCATTCCACATTTTTAATGAGCTTCCTTGCAAAGGGTATGGGCTTTCCCTTTTTTCAGCTAAAGCTTCTACTGAAAGAGGGATTTGTTCTCATTAAGAAGGGAATGTTAAGGGATGATAGTTTAAGGTGTTCACATACTGCTATTTAATCACCTTTTTACCAAAGATTAAACTTTACAGCTAAAACTGCAACCAACATGAGTACTTTACTAAGTAGAATTTGGTGTTCAGAATGGTACCTTTTTTTTTTAAGCCTTTCTCTAACTTGTTCTCTGTCTGACTTATTTTAATGTTATATGACATCTAAAGAAATGAGTTTTCAATGTCATTTTCCAAGTCTTTTGTGTAGGTGTGCACAGGTAGCCCATGGGGCTTCATTTATTTTTTTTTTAAATTGGAAGATTGCATTATTATTTTCATAAGTCATGGCTATTCTTTAAACCGAAAATCTATAGTTATTGATAATAAGCTTTATTGTCAGAAATGAAGTTTCTAATTTTTTTAAAGTTGTAAGTATTTTCTTATATCTCTTTCAAGGAATCCCAGTTTATATTTATGTTCACTGCAGCTAAAACAAGGAAGCTGCAGTGGGTGTCCAGTCATGTCATACTTTAGGTAAAACCCGAGCATCTTGGTGTGCGATACAATATTGCGATAATGTCTATTTTATACCTAGGTGGACAAACACAATTAAAGGCTGGTTACTTATTGTCCTGACACCGTTTGAAATAGTCTCAGAGTACATCGTTTGTGCCAAACTAGCTGTGTGTGCTTGAAGACAACCTTTGAAAGTCTCTGCCGACCAGTATAATCTAATGATTTCACTTACACCTCCCTTATTTAACACTGTCATGGAAAGTAAGGAATAGGCCATTCATAATTTACATGTCATTTGCTGCTTCATATTGTGTGAAATTTAATTACACAGCTTAAATCGTAGCCAGTGCTCATTTGTCTCAGGGAGCACTCACAATAAGGCATTGATGTGAGTCCAGCATTCACCCAGAGTCCGCCTTTTATCAAATCACCTTCTGGTGCGGCCATCAAGGCCGCACAGTTGTTCTTTTCACTCTTTTGTAAGGAAAATGAGAGAATTTGACCCCCATTTTCATTTAAAAATCCAGGGCATCATATAAAAGATGCTGCTTGAAAAGATTTTATTCAGTGCTTTACCACAATGGAATATACAGATAAATTTTCTGAAGGTGATTACAGAGCCTGGTTGGGTCCTCCCAGAGCTGTAATAGTTTTGTAGAACTTCCATTGAATCAAGAGAAAAATGAAATACTAAAACTCCCCACAGGTGTCGGTTTTATTATTTTTTCAACAAACACTTCTGGTAGAGGGGAACCCCTGATCCACAGCTACAAATTACTAATCATGTGTATTATTCAACGTTTTAGTCCATTTCTGAAACTTTTCCTTTAAATCAAAAGGACCGCTCTTTAGTAATTGCAGGCTGCTTGGCCTCCTGATGGGAGACTCATATAACCGTAATCCCCCTGACGACTGCTACTGGCACCCATCCCACTCCTCAGCAAAACACTAAGACTGAATTAAGAGGATGAAGAGGATAATTATTAGATTCAGGAACAGTTTCCCAGCAAAATCTGTTTTTTATTCATCACCATGAAAAACTGTTTATGGTTTTGGAAATACTCTGTTATGGTAATGGGTATGAAGCTGTTAGAAGAAGTGACCTTATTCTAAAATTTAACTGTTAAAAGTTTTTTAACAAAAAAAAATTGTATACAGTACAACCAAAAGCATACACTTTGGTGCTGCATTGCTCCTTATGATGCCTCTGCAATATCATCGTGAATGTTAGTGATATTTACAAACACTGATAGATGATATCAGTTCATATTTGCTCTGCCTTAAAATGCCCTAATGCAACCTAACCAAGTAGACATTTTTTATAAGTTAAACAGACTCTTTTTAATATTTGGATACATTCTAATCAATATTTTCTATCAGATTAACAGGGCAACTACCAAAATCTTAAGCTGGATATAATATGAGTAATCATTGACTTTACTTTTATTATAAGTAGCATCTTTATCAAAGAGATGAGTTGTATTTGTAAAAATTTGTAAAATTACAACGAAAGAATTTAAGACTTCCTATCATATAAATAAATAGAGTGCAACAATAGATCCCCTGGACAATTAAGATCCATTG
This sequence comes from Homo sapiens, assembly GCF_000001405.40. NCBI lineage: Eukaryota > Metazoa > Chordata > Mammalia > Primates > Hominidae > Homo > Homo sapiens. The sequence continues at coordinate 31,765,695 of NC_000011.10, forward strand.
CTCATTTTCTGGAAATACTATTTAAGTAGTATATATTTTAACTAAATATTAATCTGCATAATATTTTAGAGCATTAGTGATACCTCATAAATTAGTGTTACTTAAAAACTGTTCTTAGCCTGATTTATTTAAAAACATTTATTAAGAAATAACATGTAGTGGGCTTTTTGTTTGTTTTTGGCTACCATCATTAATATCTGAAATAATTTATTACTCATTTCCAAGAGAATTAACTCCTAATAAAAGACTTATTTCTCTTTTTACAAAAAGTTAATATTCTTTTTTCCCATTAATACATTGGGAATAAATATGAAAAGCACATACAGAGTAGTTTATAAACTGTGACTGTTCATCTTCTGTGTGGTGCTTCATCTATTTTTTAAAGTCTTTAATTTAGAAAAAAATTGTTAGGGAATCAAAAATGTGTACATTAATATTTTAAATACAGATTAAACCCAGTTCTTATGCATGTGAACAGTTTGCTTTGCATTGTATTTTATATAATAAACCAACCTAAAGAGATATTTTATATCTGAATAAAAAAGAAAACAATAACCACGGAAATATAACGGCAATAAGTATATTTTTCTGATAAAGTAATAGTAACTAAAACCGGTCCTTATTGCAGTTCTAGTTGTATATCTACCTGTTAACATGTTTGCCATGTAGTACCTTTATTAGTGTAAGATAAATACATATGGTTTCAGGGTGTTGGAATATAGTGTAAGTATTACTGAGTCCCTTGAATTGACATAAGTTTGGAAATGGTTTTGGCTAGTTTAGAAGCAAGAAACATGTTCCCATTTTTATTTTTTTCAGAACTTTTCAGATGATGTTTTGACTCATGATTTTACAACATGATCAATGATCATTTTGTGTGAAATATTAATATTTAGTTACAGAGAAATAAATTGTAAGATATTTAAGATAGACTGTTGAAATATACAAGACAGGTAATAGATTTAGGATGCAAACACCTATAGATACTAGTGTTACCTGAAAATAAATATATAATGAAAATAAATATATAATTGAAGATGCCTGTTATAATTTTTCATTTAGAAACAGAACTACTAAGTGTTTGTAATATACTCTGTAATTTACAAATATTTGATTGGGTAAATGTTTGATGTATTTGCTTAAACTGATTTTAGAGCAACTAATATCCCTTTAGCACATAAGCTATCTTAATGAAAAACAGAAGAAAAAATGCCACTACTTGATATATTTCTAAAGGAAAAACTCATTTTTTCATCATTTATTAAATAGCAAAACTTGTCAGTATTGTACTTTAGAAATCATTTGATGAAAAAAATCATGCTTTCTTTTGCTCTGAGTATCTCAAGAAATTCTTATATGTGGTTTTAATACTAAAGGCCTCTAAAGGAAATTCAAAAATATGTATGTTTCATTTAACTTAGATCTAAAAAGCTTAGAAAATAACCCTGCATAACAATTACAAAATCAATTCCCTCCACTATTTCATTTTGGAGCACTAATTTTGCAAATGCCAAAAGGAACATTCCCATTGCATACCTGCAGACCCTGGATGAAATGACGGCAAACTTCAGGGTTTCTACTTGACCAGAGTGGCTCTTCTGGCTACAGTGAAAATGTGAGACAGGATTTAGCCGATTCGGTGTATGAAGTCATTGGCTCTTCTCTATTTTGAGGATCTTTCAGACCTCCTTGTAAAAAAAAAAAAAAAATTAGCTCAAGGGTAGTTAGGTGGTGGGGGGAAATCCCCCACATATAAAAGCAAATTACTTTTTAAAGAATAGAAAATAATCGGTATGAGAAATTACTTCTGAATTATCCAAGTGGAAATTAAACTTAGCTCCTGTTAACATTTCTTTAGAAACATGCATTTTGATTAAGCCAAACAAACAACCAAAAAAAAAGACCCTAAGAGCAGCGTAGTCATTTATCTATATACTCACAAATACTTTTCTTTTTTCTGATCATCAGTATTTTTTTCTTGCTTTATTTGCATCATTTCCTTTAACTTTATTTCCCATTATTCATAGAAAAGCTTTCTATCTAAGGCTGAGTTGAATTACTGCTTACTTCCCTCTGTGAAGTCACTTCAGCAAAGAGTTACTCTTTGGAGTTAGGTCCTCATCTCTAATCTGTATCCCTCAGCTGAAGCACTTGGTCTTTGGCTGCCCTATCACCACCCTAAGGCACGTAGAAAGAGGGCTCTCGCTTTGCCCAGTCTGTTCACCAAGATCCTTTTCAAATTGGTGAGGAGGGAGGTTTGTGGAAGGGGGAACTAGATGTATCAAGCAACTCTGTGAAGCCAGTGTAATTTGTAAATTTGCCATAAACTTTTAAGTGAGAGTTGGAGTGGGGGTTTTGAGGGTTAGCATGTTTTCAGAAATCAAAAGGAAAATGGGAGTTTTCATTTCAGAGGGCTCTGATACTTAAGATTTTTTTTTCTAAATTTTACCAAAGCTATTAATTAGCAATTAGTCAACATAATTAAAAGATATTAAAGTATTCATGACAATATTGTTATGCTATATACTTACACTTAAATATATAAATAGGCAAAACACACACAACAGCATTTATCAAATAATACTAATTAATATCACCTAGGTGTTAATTTAAATTTGAAGCAAGTGAAATACACACTGCCTAGGAGAGTGCACCTCTATCTGTCCATGAAGAGTGAGAAAAATCACTGCTGTAATTGATACTTTTCATTCATTATGAAAAGCTTTTATAAACTCAGTAGAGAGAAAGCCTCATTTCATTTTCTCAAACCAAAAAGATACTACCTAAATGTCTTTGTATAAAAGCTAATACAATATGACAAAAATAATATTATAGTCCTCAATATACATTGAACTGGTGAAAGAAGTTAGGAACAATTTGACAAAGATAAAACATAAAATTAATTTTCATGTTATTTTCTTTGTATTCACATTCATACCAGGTAGACTTTGTCAAATACCTATAGTAAATAAGAACTTGTTCATGCATGCAGAACAAAATAAAATAAGATTAAAAGCTCCAGGAAATCAGCCTGCTTCAAAAAACCATTAAAGTGTGCCTATCCCTCAAGCTTTACAAATGTGTTAATTGTCGTGTTTCAGTCATGTAAATATGTTTCAGCATAAAGTAACCAAGATTTCCTGTTATAGAAGCAGCCCTATCTGGGGGTGTGGGGGTAGGGAGGGACGAAAGAGGACTAAATAACACACTGTAATGAAACCTGCCTTTGGGCAGCACATGCTTCGGTTCTGAATGCCCAGAAATACTTCGCAGACACTCTAGGCTGCCTAGCAATGGGGATTTTCTAATTCTGGCTAGCTTGACAAAGTAAATACAACTATTGAACATAAGGCAGCTCCTAATAAAAAACAACAATTCCCCCTTGTAAACACCTACATTTGGCCCCATTAAAAATTCTTTCTTCATACCGAGGAACTAGCAGACCCTTAAATGTGGGGGTCTCAAAGTAACTAGAGAGTAGTTGGGAGATTTAATGCTGCCAGGATGTTTTACATTGCCATTTCCACCGAGCACTTCATACCCCATCTCAGGGCTTTGTAGAGTAATGTTCTGCATACACTGTGGGGCATTATGCAAGCAAAGACATTGGCTATTATGCTCTGAGGACTCATTTGTGTACAGCCAAAAGGAAATCAACACGTTCATGTATGTGTTAGACACAAATATATATGATTGCCACATTTCCAAGAGGAGTGTTCATCGAAAGCTGCCAAATTTGAAAGTTATTAATATTTAGGGGACTGACATTAACCTGGTAACTTAGCAATCTGGTGAATTGTCTGATTTCAAAATTCTCTGATTCCTGACTTTTCACATCTTAGAATTTCTCTATTCCGTAAGCTGTGTATCAGTCAGACCTCTGCCAATCCTTAAATTGGATAGTGGATCTGCTGCAGTTCTTAAAATCTCTGGATCAACCTCAAATGTGCACACACATTTATCTGCTAACAGTTACCAAGTAGGAGCTTTCAGATTATAGTAAGAAGCAAACATTAGTTTGAATTCTAGTAAACAAACAGAAAGATATTGTTACCTTTTACCACTTCTAGAGTAGTTTCCATATAATATACTTTTAAAAAAAAACGAGGATAAAAAGGAATTCTCATTTAATTAGTAGTTTGAATATATTTCTGAAAGACTTTTTCAAACTTAACATTCAGATCTAAAAACATTGTGTGTTCCTAAAATATATTAGTATTCTTAAGCCACCTGAGGGGTAGTACCCAAAATATTGCTCCTTAAATGTCTCCTCACTTATCTTGGGTAGGAAAGGTACTTCCTAGGCAAGGCAGGCTTGAAGAACCTGTTAAAATAGTAGTCTATCTAAAGAAAGACCCCAGTTCTCTTCTAGTTACGGCAATAGCAGCAGCAGGCACTAGATCTGAAGCATCTCTCAGCTTGGCCTTGCTAAAGCTTCATTCAAATTCTACACACTCTGGAGCTTATATGCTCCGGCCTGTATTGTGTGTTCCAGAGCCACACAAGCCATGGGTTAAGCAGCAGTTGGAGACCAGCAAAAAGGTTGCCAGTGAGAAACCCAGCTACACAATTAAGGAAAGATGAGTAGAAGGGAGTCAGTTGGGGAGATATCAAGTAACCGATTTAGACAATGTGGCACAATCAGAGGATCACAGGAATAGTGACCATGTGTGACTTATCCATCCCATTCCTTTATCCCAGACATGATGCTGCTGGAGAGAGGGGGCTGGTCAGGGAGAAGGCATCTTTCACAGTGTTTTTACTATCCAAGTACAGTTTAACAAATCCAGCTGTGTTATTTCAACTGTTACCTAAATGATTTTTTTTTCAGTTCTACTCATGTTGGAGCATTAATGGGAATAAAATTTCCAAAAAAAAAAAAAAAATAGAAACTAAAAGTAAAAGATACTGCTTTCAGTTTGCATAGAAAGTAAAACCAGGCCAAGAATAGTGGCTCACATCTGTAATCTCAACACTTTGGGAGGCCAAGGCAAGAGGATTACTTGAGCCCAGGAGTTTGAGACCAGCCTGGGCAACATAGTAAGACGCCCATCTCTACAAAAAATAGATGTGTTAGCACATGCCTGTAGTCTCAGTACTCGGGAGGCTGAGGCAGGACAGAGTGAGACCCTGTCAAAAAAGAAAAAAAAAAAAACAAGAAAGGAGGGAGGGGGGAGGGAAGGATTGAAGGTATGAAGGAAGGACCATTTTAAGCTTTCCAGGAATAATCTAGTTTGTTCTTTGTCAATGCATAAAATAAGGGAGGAGAATTCTTAAATGTCTCAAACAAAGGAACATTGGGATTGAAAGATGGTGGTATATTTATTGCTGTGTAGCCAAAAGATTCCAAGTCACATTTTAAAAGAATTAAACTCAGCAAACCATCCCCACAACAGTAGAAACTGCTAGAGTTTCTCCTTCATGGACATTTCACACAAGTCTCAACTCCTCTACCTGGAATCTTCTATTGGGCAGGCACGAGATTAAGAACCACCACTCCCCACAGAAGGAGGGTGAGGGTGAGATGGGAGTCACTTAGTAGCTAGAATGTTTCTTCAGAATCAGAAGAAAGCAGGATCTAATAGCCAGTATATACCACCTTTGGGGAAATTCTGTCTCTTGTAGAATATGCATGTTTGCAACAATTTTTTTTTCTATTATTGCAAATCTCCATGCATGACTTTGTAAGGATGTGGGTAAGATGGCCCTGGTATTCATAGAAATAAGCTCACATCACTTCCTTGCTACCCCTTGCCCTTAAGAATTAAATCCAAGTCACTTACTACACTTTAGAAACTCTACAAGATCTGACCACTGCGTACCACGCCAAACTTCTCATAGCCACTCCCCTGCTCATTGACTGCTCCAGAAAAGCTGACTTTTTCTCTGCCTTTCAAGCATGCCAAACTTATTCCCACCTCACGGTTTTTCCATTTTATTCCCTTTGCCTGGGACTTCTTTCTCTGGGTCTTATGAATCCCTTCTCAAAATTTAGGTCTTAGTGGCCGGGCTCAGTGGCTCACGCCTGTAATCCCAGCACTTTGGGAGGCCAAGGCGGGCAGATCACAAGGTCAGGAGATCAAGACCATCCTGGCTAACACAGTGAAACCCTGTATCTACTAAAGATACAAAAATTTAGCCGGGCGTGGTGGCGGCAGGCACCTGTAGTCCCAGCTTCTCAGGAGGCTGAGGCGGGAGAATGGCGTGAACCCAGGAGGCGGAGGTTGCAGTGAGCCAAGATTGTGCCACTGCACTCCAGCCTGGGCGACAGAGCGAGACTCCGTCTCTAAAAAAAAAAATTAGGTCTTAGCTCAAATATACTCTCCAGAAAGGCCTTCGCCTACTGAAGTCATACTCCCAGCCAGCATCATATCACCATGTTTTGTTTCCTTAAAAGCACCTCTCACCACCTGAATTATTTTCTTCTTTTTTTTTTTTTTTTTTAGAATAAGTCTTGCTCTGTCACCCAGGCTGGTGTACAGTGGCGGAATCTCAGCTCACTGCAACCTCCACATCCCGGGTTCAAGCGGTTCTCCAATTCTCATGCCTCAGTCTCCTGAGTAGCGGGGATTCCAGGCATGCACCATGATGCCCGGCTAGTTTTTGCATTTTTGGTAGAGACTGTGTTTCACCATGTTGGCCAGTCTGGTCTCAAACTGCTGGCCTTAGGCCTGCGTCGACCTCCCAAGTGCTGGAATTACAGGCGTGAGCCAACGCACCCGGCCTAAATTATCTTCTTTTTTTTGTTTGCCCTCCTATGTGTTGTCAGTCTCTCCTCGAGTCATCTAAGTATCTGTGCATTGTCCCTCCTAATCTTTGGAGTTCTCTGAAAGCAGGTGTCTTGCCTGTCTTGTTCACACTGTTTTGTCTCTAGTGCTTAGAAAAGTTCTGGCACACAGAGTGTAAACTGAAGCCAGACTGCCCAAGTTCAAATTCCATTGGAATACACTGAAGTTGCAACCTCACTTCTGCTCTTTTCCCATTGTTTCAGACATGAACACATGGTCCACAACTAACAGCAAGGGAAGTTTGAAAATGAAGTTTTTATTCAGAATTGTTTTATATTCAAGGGTTCTGCTGCTAAAGTAAAATGGGAGAGTAGATACTGGAAAAAAAAAATTATCAATCTCTGCCATAATTCACTTACTCCCTCTCCAGGCATGAGTGAGGAATCCTACTGGCTAGAAACTGCAAAAATTATCTGCCTTGGCAATCAAAGACTTTAGCCCAGTTTGTAGCACCCACTTCTCTCTGGAAGAAACTCCTTTGTCCATCATCCTGCATATCCCTCTAGGAAGTTTTTCCTTGTCTGTTATCAGCCCTGGCTACAGAAGGTCACCACTGGAGAGTATGCCCTTTGGGGGCTCCACAGTTTTCACAACTCAATTATTGATAGATCAGTTTTGGGGGCCTAGGATTACTGTAGAGGCTGAATAATTATAGGCATTTGACCAGGCTTGGGGTTTCTTTGCCAATACAGTTTCCTCAGGACTTAGATTTGCAGTCTATTTGCTTCCCTTTGGTTCCACATGCAAGTAATCACAGCCAAAGAGCTTGTCTTACATAGTTCTAGGATTCCGTTGCAAGAAACAGATACCACCTAGTTATTTTATGCAGAGGGAAAGTTTATAGAAGAAAATGGGGAATTAGTGAAATAATTGGAAGGGCTGAAGGAGATTGCCATCAAACTGGCCAGCAGGGAAGCAACTACCTGTACCATAGTCAGGCACAGGTACCAAGGTAAAGAATTGGGAGACCACCACTGGAGGTATTAATTGAACACATGTATGGGGCTGCACTCTTGGGGTTAGTAAATCCCACTGCCACCACTGCAACTTCTTCTTGACCCCCATGAAGCAAGCAACTGGACACAGAAGCAGAGGTTTGGCCTCAACTTCCACAACTGTCTCTCAACTCCCATGAAGCTGTTGACTAGTCAGTGGAATCTCAACACACAAAAATAAATGGTCTCCACAACTGTGCTTGCCAGTTGTGGTAGTTAAAGCAGCAGTGAGATAGCTCTTGTTTCTGTTCCATTTTTTTAATCTAGTACAAATGCATCTAATTGGATAAAGCTAATGCACACCTTCATAGCCCCTGATGTGTAAGAAGACACACCAGAAGACAAGATACTTCCTGATGGATGCTGAGCACCCATTCCCCTTGTTCATCATGACTGTTACATTGTAAGACTTCAGTCTTAGGTGGGGCATGGTGGCTCATACCTGTAATCCCAGCTGCTCAGGAGGCTGAGGCCAGAGGATTGCTGAGCCCAGGAATTCAAGGCCAGCCTGGGCAACATGGCGAAACCCTATCTTTACAAAAAATACAAAAATGAGCCAGACATGGTAGCTTGTGCCTGTAGTCCCAGCTACTCGGAGGCTTTGGGAGGATTGCTTGAGCCGAGGAAGTTGAGGCTGCAGTGAGCCATGATTGTGCCACTGCACTCCAGCATGGGCAACAAAGCGAGACTGTCTCAAAATAAATTTTTTAAAAAGACTTAACATTCTGGCCTCTCTACCCTTATCTCACTCTTTCGTCTTATCAGTAGCTGCCTTGAAGCCATCTAAAATAATAGACTTGAGTGGGAAGGCAATACCCTTAATCTTTTTTCTCTGAGGTGGCTCCCATTTTCTGACCAGCCACTTAACGAAGGTATTTAACGAAGGCTTAGGGGCACAGACATCTGCAAAGGTTGTCTGTCTTGGAGTGCAGGTGTAGAAACAGTTGGGTATTTTCAACCCCATGGGGCCCCAATTGCCAAATTGTTAGTCAGTTTAGCTTGTGGGCTGCAGGTAGTCCCTTCCATCTCTTCTTGCAGATTCTATAACTCTAGCATGAGTTCATCTGTCTTTTATAAATGAATTTGCTTAAAGTGGCAAGAAGCTACCAACACACTAGTATTCTGAATTTCTCTAATGTTCCACATAGAGCCTCTGATTAGGAGGGAGGAAATTTGCCCTCCAAGCTATCACAAGCATAACAAGGCTCACCAGCTTTCTACTTTGCAATACTTGACCTCACTGCCTATCTTCAAGCCACTAAGCCAACATACCTTTAGGTAGGTGGTAGAACTTCAGTGCCTCACTTGTCAGGTACCAAACTATATAAACAGAATATAGATTAGGCTGTTATTGCAGAGATCCAAAAACACGGTGGCTTAAGTAATGTAGAAGTTCATGTATCTCTCACATAAAGCCCAGTTAGATGACCTAGTACTCTTCTGGTGGCCAGATGGTGTCGAGAGAGCCTGTACCCATTCTGTCTTTTTGCTATGCCCTCCTCAGCAAATAGCTTCCATTTTCTGGTCCAGGATGACTGTGTTAGCACCTACCCTGAAGTCCACATTTCAGCAAGTGGGAAGAGGGAAGTTAGATTCATCCCTAACATTCAAAGAGCCTAGAGCAAGAATGCAAATAAAGGACCACATAATTATTATATGCCTAAATACTTTAAGTTATTAAGCCAACAAACTATTAAATATGTTCTATCTTCCTTCACACATATACCTCCCTGAAAAGCCAAGTTTAAACTTAGGATCAGGGCTCCACTCCAGAACATGAAACACACGGAGAATTGGCCTACAGCATGCCTCCTTTCTCTTCCCACCACTGCCCCCTTACCACACACAAGGGCACATTCACACATGTTTGTGGATGCCCACCTTGCACATCAAAACTGTATCCCCCACAAATGGCCATCTCTTGGCTACTTCTGGGCCCCATGTTATACACACAGACAACACAGTCGACCCTTGGGGAATGAACCTGGGGGAGAGAACTGTGCAGGCTTTGTAGTCATTTGGACAGGGAATTCTGAGGTTATGAGTACCCAGAGCATGTTTTATAAAGAAGGGCAGGATGGACGTGGTAACTGACGCCTGTAATCTCAGCACTTTCGGAGGCCAAGGCAGGCAGATTGCTTGAGCCCAGGAGTTCGAGACCAGCCTGGACAACATAGTGTGACCCTATCTCTACAAAAAAGCTTAAAGGCCAGGTGCGATGGTTCACACCTGTAATCCCAGCACTTTGGGAGGCTGAGATGGGCGGATCATGAGGTCAGAAGTTCAAGACCAGCCTGACCAACATGGCAAAATCCCGTCTCTACTAAAAATGCAAAAATTAGCTGGGCGTGGTAGCACATGCCTGTAGTCCCAGCTACTTGGGAGACTGAGGCAGGAGAATTGCTTGAACCCAGGAGGTGGAGGTTGCAGTGAGCTGAGACCACACCATTGCACTCAAGCCTGGATGACAGAGTGAGACTTCGTCTCAAAAAATAAATAAATAAAAATTAAAAATTAAAAAAAATCAGTTGGACTTGGTGGCATGCATCTGCGGTCCCAGTTGTTTGGGAGGAGAAGATGGGAGGGTGGCTTCAGCCTGAGAGGGGAAGGCTGCAGTGAGCTGTGATTGCGCCAGTGTACATCAGCCTGGGCAAAAGAGTGAGACCCTATCTCACAAAAAAAAAAAAAAAAAAAAAAAGAGTATGGGATCTAGAAGCACATCTCCCTTAGCCCTGTAATTCCTCACCCTGTAGGATGGGGCATGGCCAAAGGAGGTGTGGATCAGGACCTAGGGCAGGGGCTCTCTTGCCAAGATCTAATAGCAATTTTAAGGGAAAGGATAAGTAGATGGTGCCTCCTCTTTAAGGAGCTCACCCTAAAGTTAACCATAGCACTTCTGCTCCAGATGAAGTGACCATAACTTAGTCGCTCAGCCTCTTCTATTGGCAAGGGAAGCTAGGAACTGTGACCTCTGTTCTAGAAGGCTATGTGCCTCACTAATATTTAGAAATTCTTGTACTCTCTGAAAAGGAGAATAGATTTTGGGAGTAAACTGGCAATCTTTGCCACAGACACATGCCTTTTCACAAATCACACTTTTGTTTAGACAAGTGAGTTCTTCTCAATCTTCTTTCAGAGAGGTGAATTTGGAGGCAAGACAATACTGTCAGTTATAATTGACGGTCAAAATAATTGCACACCTGAGCATTTTTCAATGGACAGCCAATGTGCAGTGTTCCAGTGCTGAAATTTTGTCTAATTTTCAAATCAGTCAGGAAGAACCCAATGAATATTTTTCCATTTAAAGGATATAGTATGATTATGACATTCAATAAAATTCAATTAAGATTAATCATTTTAATCTTAAACCCTGGGCATGAATTGGGCCTTAAACAAAAAGTTAAACCTAAAACCTAATCATGTTTAGCAGAATTTGCTCCAGAAATATTCAGCTGCTACCAAATGTACACTTGCCAATCCAAAAAGAGCAAATATTTGGTTCTGGCATTGTTTCCACTGGCCTATTCATATATGACAATAATGCAAAATTCAGCAGATGCATCCTCCACATTGCAAATCCTAACCAGATGTAGAATAATTACAATATAATATTACATTGTAATAATGTAATAATTAGGGAGTACTACAAATATAACAATATAAAATATAATGATTATATAATAGCATATAACATTGATTTTTTTTTTGCAAGTTGAAACAACACTCTGAAATCTTGTGAAGATATCATAGCCATACTATGATGGTGAACATAGTCTGTCTCCTCCCCTCCATCCTCCTCCTTGTGACCCTGAAAGGAAATCTGTCTTTCCACAAAGGAAGGAGAAATTCTGTGTTTATCCATAGAGCAGGGGAGACTATGAACACATTGCTTTTATTCCCACCCTCTGGACTAGTGGGGTCATCAGGTATGCATTTCTTGGTCAGAAACCATGAATGGGGCCCCCGCAGTCAGCTATAGTTCACATACTGAGTGAATGCTTCTGGATGGTGATCATTTTGCTGTGGCCCTTCTGGAAATTGACATGCCACTAGTTGTCTCCCAATATCCATTTACTCCTCCTTCCATAGTAATAGATTTGTTAAACATTTTTACACACTTTTAGACATTTCCCAGCCTCCCTTGCAGCTAGATGTGGCCATGTCTTTGTTCTGGGCATGAGTGGAAGTGATGTGTCCAACTTTCAGGTCTTGCCTTCCTGGCCTCTTTCTTCTCACAAGCTAAGAAGAGCATCAGCCTTGCAGCCAGAAGTGGAACCCCTTGTTGAGAATGGCAGACCAGTCCTTCCCACTCTGAATTGCTTACTTCTGGACTGTAAAATGGAAAAGGAATAAACTACCTTTTATAAGCCATTTTTGGAAGAGGGTAGGAGTGTCTCTGTATTATAGCTACTTAGCCTGTACTCTAGTTCATTCCCTACCACTTGGAGCAGTTCAGAATACAAACTGGCTGCAGAGATGAGTATATCATCCTGCAGTGAGTGCATCAGAGCTGAAAACCTGCAGTGGAATAGGATGGCGTGCCTTTTGAGCGTTTGTTTCCTCCCCATTATATAAAGGGGGGATATGCTTTTAAAACTCGAGTGGGAAAGCTTCATCTTCTGACATTTCCTTTATTAGTTATTTTGCCAGCAGTGAAGACATGTGCAAAATACAGGTTTTAAAAATAAAATGCACCCTAAATTGCCTCCTTAATACAGCCATGCATGTATACACTGGCCCAGAAGCCAGGCATCTTACATACCCCACTTTCACTCCTACCTTACTCAGTATGAGGGAAAGTATTTAGACTTTTAAAACCTCAGAAGCAGGGACTGCAGTTGCACTTTGCTTTATATGTCTGTAAGGAGCCGCAGTAGAGAGTAATTATACTAAATACTCAGATTCCAGGCAGACTGAGACCTGGTGGCTAAGTCTGATGTGCTGTTGCTATTGTTTATATTTGTTCGTTATATTTGTAGATTGATTTCCTTGACCTAATAAACTCACTTGTTTTTGTCTTGTTATACCATATGTACTTTTATGAACCACCTCAGATCCATTTTTGAAGCAAGAAGAGATAAATAAATTAGTGTAGAACTTGATAGTTCACAAAACACTTACACATCTCATTTTATTCTGACGAGAGTCTTATGAGGGAAGAATCATTCCCCCATGATAGATGAGGACACTGAGGCTTAACCAGCTGAATTGACTTTTCTGAGGTTACGTGGAGAGTGAATGACAGAGGCAGGTATCAAACTGTCACTCTCTGCCTCTGTGTCCAGTGCCCACAAGTCCTGGCCACCTCTGTTAAGGGACCAATGTAGAACCTGTGTGTTCTAAGGTATTTATAAGTTGTTGTTTTTTGTTTTTGTTTGTTTGTTTTTTGAGACAGTTACTAAAGTTTTAAAGGTTTTTTTGTAGAGATGAGGTCTCACTGTATTTTATTGTCCAGGCTGGTCTTGAACTCCCAGGCTCCCACTTCGGCCTCCCAGAGTGTGGGGATTACAGGTGTGAGCTACCCCGTGCCTGGCAAGTTTTCATTTAAATTGGCAATGTTTTAAAGAAAAATGAAAAAATCTATTAGGAGTATTCTGAAATGTTAATGCTTATTTCTGTGATCCTGAGCAATACAAATTGTGACTTTTCAGGAAATGTCAGAAATTTTTAAAAGGTTTAAAATAAATCTTTAGTCATCTGCTAAGGGTCAAAGTATACTACATCAGTTGTTTTCAGAAAACAAACAGTGCCTGATGGTTTGGTCTTGGCAAAATGTGAAAAATATAAACTGATTAAACTTATTTTAATGAGTATTTACCTGCAATTTGTCTCAAATCCAGGTGTAATCGAGATTCATTATCTTGCCCCTTCTGTCTGGGAACTGTGAGCACTGAGCACAGGCCTGGCAGGCTGGGAGAAACGGAATTAGGAAGGGAACTGTTGAGCCAGGAATTCCAATCTTATGTGTCTATAGGATCAATTTAGCTGCTGACTCAGAAGGAACAAAATATAGACAGTGGCTAAGCCCAACAAAGAGACGGAGAGGCAAGTAGAGGGGAAAGAATCTCAAAGTCCAGCTCTCCTCGGTACCTCTTGGAGCCTCAGAGCAAATCACTTCTGCTGCTGCTGCCTTATTATGACCCTGGGCTTCCCATGGGCCTAAGGGTGCCTTTTGGCAGGAGTCTCCATAATCTGCCAGAGTGTTTTGCTAGCCTCACTGTTTCCCTCCTTGCAGCGTTGATCCAGTGGGATTACAGCAAATCACCCTGGCCTGTGCAGGAACCGTGGAAGTTGTCACACCTTTCCCAGATCCGTTTGCCTACACAGAAATCATTGTTTTAGACAAGGCATTAATGGAAAAAGTAGGCAGCCAGCCAGCCAGCCAGCTATCCATCTCCTGCATCACACAGTCTCTTCCTCCCAGAATCTGAGAAAAGAAAATCAAGTGGAAAAATTTCAGCTCAAGAAGTAAGATATGGTTTTGGTTTTGGCCCTTGCTTCAGAACCCCAGGTATAAAATGAGAAATATGAATACCTTGATTTGGTTTTCAAGGTTGAGAATAATATGATTTTTTTGTGGTCTGATTTTTCTTTAAACCATTACTCAGTGAAACCTCAATGTCTAAAAGTTTATATACCCTACAGCCCTGTAGTTTTAAGTCTAAAGGAGGTCACCATGCTATGCAGAGTATCTTGCAGCATTTTTTTTCAGAAGACAGATCTGGGATACAGCAGCATCTGAACATTTACATGTCAAGTGTGTAAATGCTTTGGAAGCCTCAAAGGAAAAATCCCTGACACACCTGGCATGCCTGGAACCTGATCTCTCGTTCTTCCTCGCTGTTTCACATCGCACTGACATGGCGCACAGGGGGAGGCTCAGAAAGAAAGAAAACAAAACCCACTGCTTGAGAATTTAGATTGCATAGTAAGCTCATTCAAGTAATAATCAACAAAAGCAGGCAAAATCACACATAGATTCACATATTTCCAAGAGCCATCCTTGGGCATTTTCAAAGGGCATGAATATACAACTAGCTTTACAATGTAGCATTTGGTTAAAAGCAGTTAATCATATTACCCCTAAATTTTTATGCTCAGAAGTCTCACACGAATGATATTTGACTTTACTTCAAAGCCATTCAACCTGAAAGATTTCCAAGCATGTCACATGTCACATTTAGCTACTTTTTCTCTGAAGGGCTTTCGGCCAACTGGCTCACCACATTCATTGCCTAGAAAAGCAGAGGCCAAGAAATGCTGAGCCAGTCCACAAGCAAATAGGTAGGCTCCTGAAATAAATTGTATTATGCTTGTTCTAAATAAAGCACGCAAGTTTTCTCATTTAGATTATCAGAGCAGTATGACCCGTTAACTAAATGCATCATGTAATCGTAAAGATATATTGGTTCTCCTGTTAAGCAAATCTCCATTCTTCATGTCAGAATCCAGTTCATTACTTCAGACCCAGCCCAGATCCCTACCCCATAAAGCTTTTTCATGTTTTCCTTCGCCAACTGTGATTTCTGGTTTGTGTCTGCCTTTCTTGTATACCTAACTTGGAGTGTTCCCTGTGAGGGTTACCTATGTGCTTGCCTTATTCATATTACTGTATTGTAAGGAAATGAATGTGGAAGGTACTCTATTGACATAAGCTTTCAGAATCCCTTGCTGCAAGTGGATTCTAAATATTTGTTGACTCCACTTGATTTACCAAACAGCCTAATCACCATCTGACGTCATTTGTCAGGTCCCAACCAAAAGTATATACATGCACGTTTCTTTATGGTAATTTTTTTTTCAGATAACCTTCAGATTATGCATGTATCCTGGTCATTTTTCTTTTGCTCATTAGCAATAACTACAAGATCTTAAACATTAAAACTCAGACATAAAATTAAAGGTTTCTTTCCGTCCTGCTTCCTCACGTGGACACTGATAGAATTAACCCTACACAGACATTTGTAACCCCAAACTTTAGAACCATACCTGCCTTTTGGATTCCTGAGCCTTTTTTTTTTTTTTTTTTTTTTTTTTTTTTGGACAGAGTCTTGCTCTATTGCCAGACTGGAGTGCTGTGGCACGATCTCGGTTCACTGCATCCTCCGACTCCCTGGTTCAAGCAATTCTCCTGCCTCAGCCTCCCTGGTAGCTGGGATTACAGGCACACACCACCACACCCAGCTAATTTTTGTATTTTTAGTAGAGACGGGATTTCACCATATTGGCCAGGATGGTCTCCATCTCTTGACCTCATGATCCGCCTGCCTCAGCTTCCCAAAGTGCTGGGATTACAGAAATGAGCCAGTGTGCCTGGCCGATTCCTGAGCCTTTCATACCTTTGTTTCTGCCTGAAATCTTTCCTGGAACAAACTAGAGCATAAAGAAATGAAAGAATTGCTTAAAACAAAGAAACAAATATGTCTTTATTTGTGCTTTTTTATCATTCAAGAAATAGATATTTAATTGCTTAATAAGTGACAGGCTGGGTCCCATGGATACTAAGGAATAGTTCTGTATGGATATTACTCTATGAGTGTTACAGCTTTTCTTGACCCCGTTAACCTTTCTGACATCTTCCTTGATCATGCATTTGTATAATAGTATCTTTTATCCTAGATATATTTGTATTAAAAATAAGTACAGGCAGGTTGAAATCAAGGAAGAATATTTTTTCATAAATTATTTTTAGTTTTAAAATATTTTGATCATGTGCACACAGCTTGTGTTTACATGACAATAAAAAGCCTTTATTCAAGAAAGAAACTAACTGGAGCATATGCTTGTGGACCACAATATTTTGACCAAAATAATATGGTTCTCCCCTTTTTCATCTGTTTTTCCCCCCCATATTGAAGAGAATTTTCCAAATGAAGGGTTTCAGCTAGGTTGTCTCCAGGTCAGTTCTCCTCTAGAAGGCTGTGTGTAGTCATCAGTGGGGAGCCCTATGCTGCCTTATCTTTAGCCTCCCACACCACTTTGTGTCTCACACAACAGATAAGTTCCTTTAAGTTTGGATTTTTATGAAATAAATTTTGCGAGCTGGGAGCACGGAGAGTTAAATGAATTTGATATTCTTTTGAAAACAGAAAAATGTTATTTTGAAATATGGATGTTTCTCCCTAATTGCAGTAACTTCTGTAATTGTGGTCAGTTGCTGGGGTCAGTTTAAATCAGCCTGTATCTGCAGAAAAACAGTTGGGATGGGCGGGGGTTGGGAGGGTGTTCAAAGCAACACTATACTTTTGAAAACATGACCCAACATTATGCATAGAAACAAACTTACCAAGACCGGTAATAGATGCTGTGGCTGACTTACCTGAACATATGAAAAAATTGACCCTCCGGTTGGTATCATTTTTTTATGTTGTCAACATTTCTGTGAAAATTTTAAGTTCCTAGAGAAAGTATAACCTTGAAAAAGAATCGTCAGGTCAACTAATAGACAAAGACAAACAAGTATTCATGGGAATCTATAATTGCTGAAAAGCTACATTTGACCTTAAAAATTGCATGTTGGAGCTCTGGCAAAATAAAACAAAGCCAAAAAGAAAAAAGACATCTGCCGTTATTTATGCGATATTTCCAACGTTGCTGTTATTTATGTGTTTACATGTGTTCACTTCTACCTAATGAGAAAAGATCTTAATACATTTTGGTTTGGACACTGAAAATGTTCCAATAAGATTCCTGGTACGGTTTCTGTGATGGCTGTAATTTGTAAAATCCAGTAGGAACAGGAGGTGATTATACTGGAATTCAGTCTGAAGAATTGTTTTAGCAGGAATTTTATATGCAAGTCTAAATGCTGATCAACAGAGCATAATATTGTAATCTGAAGTATGCTAGCCAAAGCAAAATTAATTTTTTTTCTTCTTTCTTCTTTTTTTCTTCTCCTGAAATCTTCTGCCATAGCGACTGCATTTGCCTCCAGACTTGTCAGACACAGTGAGCCGCTCAAGCAAAATGGATCTGGCAGAATCCGCCAAGCGGCTGGGCCCAGGCTGTGGCATGATGGCCGGAGGCAAGAAGCACCTGGACTTCTAGGGATTCCTCCTTAGTCGCTGCATGCAGAATTCTATGACACTCTAATTATGATTGCTAATAGCTTATGTAAATATTTTTCTTAACAATTTGACCCTCCACTCCTTGAAAAACACAGGATTATAAAATGGTGCCGCCATTTCTCATTTTTTAACTTTTTACAGAACTAGCACAGCAGAAATACTTTTAAATTTTTCCTTCATGCTCTAGAGAAAATAATTTTATTTTTAAATAAACGCCAAAAAATGTCAAAATCTCAAGATTCCTGACAGTGGTCATTCGTGTGTGTACTAAGGCATTTAGTGTCATGGTAAAGTGCATGTCACAGCAGGTAGCATACAAAACATGATGAAATTCAAGATTGTATGTGAAAACATACTTTCTCTTTATTACAGAAACAGTCACTTGCCACCAAAAATGCTGTTTTTTAAATGAAAATGTGTTTACTAATATATAAAATAAATTTGCATTTATGTATCCAGTTATTAAATTGATAAAGACAAAGTAATATTTTGGGATTTAGATTCCACTAGAGATAATTAGTCTACCATAGTAGTTATTAAATATAAAGAACTTCAGTGATAGGAAACATAGAAAAAAGAAGTGGATGGTCTTTAGTTTAGTAATCCTAAACAATTGAAGTCAGTACTATGAAATTATGTCAACAGGCATCATTCAGGATTGAAATTCAAACTGACAGCTACATTAATGCTAGGATACCAGGAGAAAAACATATACTGAAGCTTGTTGAGAGATTTTACAGAACATAGGTCTGAGACAAAGTGAAAAAATGAAACTAACTCAGATTTCCATTGCATCACATAAATATTTTGTTAATAATGAACATTGGTTGAGTGTGTAAATTTCTAACCATGTAAACATGTCTTTGGGGGGTATAGCATATCGAACCAGTTTTCATATGAAACATTAGGTGTTTTAATTACAATTCTATATTCTCAAAGCTTTTGACAGATAATGGATAAAAAATGAAAGTTGAAAAGTAACTTGCATATTTAAGAGTCTTGATTTTTTAAAAGGTGTTTAACATCCATTGGGAGAAACTGAATTTCCAAAATACATTTTCAAATGTATTTAATATTTTGAAGCAGTTATAACTAGCATTTTTAAGCAGCTTGCTTTTAATATACCACAAATTATACTTTATTTGTTCTTGACAACATTGTAGAAAACAAAGACTAGGTTTTTAAAACTGTCTAACCAATATGATGAATGTCAGTCACTTAAAAAAACCCACTGTAGCATAAACACATACTGTATACAGCTTTTATTCAGAATTAGAATAATTGAATCAATGACAGTGATTTGCCAGGATGTCAAATCTCTCCATCATATCCTGTCACTACCAGTTTATTTTTTGTGATCAAAATCAAAAAGACAACTATTTTGTCACCCGCTATTTCATTAGTACTAAAAATCAGGTTTCTTATTCTATTTTTTTAGAATGTCGGGTTTATTTTTTTCATTTCTTTTAATTCTAAAGACACAGATTCTTCCCCATTTTCTTTTCAAAATAAAGTTTCAGAATTGATCTGTCAGTTAAAATTAAAGGGCTTTATATTAAGCAAAGGTGCTTTTAAATTTTAAAGCAACTTCAAAAAATTGATTTAGTCCATAGATAATAAATAATGTTGTGCGGATACTCCACAAAAGCTCTGCTATGTCCTTTGAAAGCATTATGAACATTCTGAATAAATTCAAATGAGTATTTTAGTCAGTTTATTATTTTAATAACTCTAACCTTTTTCTTACCGTGTTGATTCATTTTATACAACACACAATGGAACAATTACATAGCATTTGACTTGCTGAAAAAGAGATACGAGGTCATCAGATATGTAAATTGCTTGTCAAAATACTTAATAGGTCATTGATATACTTCCCTGGCTACCATGTCTATAAAATTAACAGCCAATTACTAGTTAATATATGCTTTGCAAATAGATAACTACTATAAAAATTGAATATGCATATTTGAACCCTTATTTTAAATATAAAAGAAACTTTTCAAACTCAGTAAAAGTGCATTTTGAATAATAAGTGTACCTGGGCTTTCCAAAAATCATATCCAAGTGCTTTGTTTTTCTAATTCACTGGGCCGGCTTTGTAAAAATAAGCTACTGGAGAGGGGTGTGTATTTTTGTCTTCCTCTGATAAAAACGCACTCTGAAAATGTGTTTTCCTTTCTTCTGGAAACATTATTTGTTACTCATTATGTTAATAACTTACTACATAAACATATCTCTCTTCAATAATGCTACCTTAGGTATAGACACCATTTTGATACATTATGAAATATACACTCCATTAACAGATTTTTTTTAATTATCAGCTTGACTCAAAGATATAAATACTTAAGAACAATGCCAAACGTAATATCTGAAATGATATCTTTTAAGTGTTTCTAGTATATGAACTTCAAAACCCTATATGGTACTCATTTCTTACACTAGATTTGCCTTTCTTTAACATGAGATAAATATTTTGACTACTGCAGTTTGCTCAGGTGCTCGGGTTCTAAGACTTTTTGAATTTCCTTTTAGTAGCCACCATACAATATCTACTTTTCTCTTCCATTTATTCCTTATGTCCACCTCCAGGATCTTTAAATACTAACAGTAGACAAAATAAAACTACTTTAGAAGGAAGCGACACTCTGCAATCAATTCCCTGTCCATCTTTTAACAAATCAGACACACATAGGCATACAAAAGGAGAGTGGGGGGACCCCCCTATTCATTTGTTTAAGCCCATTATTAATGTCATTTCTAAGACAGCATGTTACTGCTTTCCAAAGATAGTCACCGTCAACATTATTGAAATAAGCAGTACTAACCCTAAGTACTTACACTTTGAACTTTAAAACCGAGCAGTTGAGTCATTCAGTACCAAGCCAAAACACAGAAAAACAAAAAAGCAGATGAGGTTTATTCTTGAGAAATGAAAAAGAGAAGAATATATATTTCGCCTTGGTGAGCCAAACATACAGAGAAGAAAAGGCTTTTTAAAATCTTACTAGTATGAGAGGCCCAGAGTAAAAAGAAATAAGCAAAAGAATATAGACACAATCCTAAGATGACATTCACAGAACAAAGCTGAATCTTCAAATAATACTGTATGAGTGAATCTTAGGAAACCTAGTGATGATAGTAAGAAGAAATGGCAGTGAGCTGTAGCAAGAAACCAGTTGTTCACCATTTAAGGGTTAGGAGGCATAGCTTTGGGGGAAAAATATTCTAGAAATTCATTGCAGTAAAATGCATTTTTTTACTTAGAGCAGTTTGAACGTTTATTACTTAAAACATTCAGCTCTTATTCTATTCACCTGGTTTTCCCAAGTCAGTCAAGTTTGGAGAAAAAATTTAGACGTTTAGTCCTGGGATTCTACTGAAGTCTTCACAAATAATCTCCATCCTGGAAGATGGTGTCAAAACATCCCTGCAGATACCCCATTGATAAATATATAAATATATGTATCGTTAAATAAATAATAAACAAAAATTATTTCAACAATGAGTAAAAGGCCAACTCCCAGGCACTGCTACCACACAGAGCCTGCCATGCTGTCCCCAAGAGAGTGCCTGGAGCTCTGTTTGGAAGGACAGCTCATGTCCCTAGGGTGTGGGCAGAAGGCAAGGCAGCCGTTCCCATCCTGCCGGACCAGAGGGCTTCTGCAGCTGAGCAGCCGCTTCTTCAGACTATACCAGACTGTGCTACTTTGCCCTGGCAATCCTGACCTTCAGAGCACACATATACGTGCCCAAGTGCACACATACAGACCCTCCGCTCCCACGTCACTCCTTTTCTCCCATTCCCACCTCTTGCACCTGGCGTGCGACATCCGGGTCTCCAAAGTCTCTGCTGTCTACACAACAGAACCGTGGGCCGGAACTGGCTGCCTGACCGTGGTGGAAATTACAGCCAGCGAGAAGGAAGAAGTAAGCCAGCCAGCAGCTGTGGCATGCACTCCCACATAGCCCTTCTCTGACAGTTCCCTCAGCACACAGCCCTCAGGGAATGTAGGCTGCAAAATGTCAGGAGGTAGAAATGTCTGCACCGGCAATTGTACCAACAGTGCGTATGTGTGCTCACTCCCCTGCAGAAATGTGCTGCTGTGCAGTGCAGGCTGACACTGAACAAAACTACATGCACACATACAAAAACTGCAACTTAGGAAGGTGTCTCCAAATGTGCAGCAACTCTGGTGGAATAAAATTATTAGTATATTTCATGCCGGAGCAATGAATCTCAATTATCTGTTCACAAGTAATTCCTTAACTAAAAAACAGTAGATATTGAACGAGAAGGTCATGTTTAAATCCTTCCATTAATTTCTACATTTCTGATCATTTGCTTTTGGGGATTTTTTTAAAGCAGAGTATAATTCAGTGGAAGTGTGTCTTTGTCCCCAGAGGTTTCTGCATGTGCAAGCATTTTAATCTAGACTGCCAGAACCCCCAGGCTTTTTAGTGAAGTTTGCAGAGGAAGACTTATCTGTATTGACTTATATGTTGCACAGAACAAATGAAAGTCTCAGACAGTCCTTTTTTACCCAACAAAGGCTTATTTTTTTCCATCCTTTGCTTGGGCTCAAGCACTCCTGCCCTGCGTGCCTCCACTTTAAACATGATCAGAACTGTGCTTCATTGCAAATAACAACTGACCAACAATGGGCCCTGCTTCATAGATTTGGGAATGTTTGGCTTAAGCTGCCAATGACTGAAGGCCTTTAATTCCCACCGGCCAGTCACAGTCTGCTTTGTTGTTGTCTGTTGATGTGTCTGTGCTCATTATTCCTTGACATGCAACATCCCCCCTCCACCCTCCAACCATCCACAACCGCACAGAAAGCAAGATTCAAATGGGAACAGCTGTAGTGGTTCAATGGGAAATGATGCCTCTTGTGCAAAGGGGAGGGAGACAGAAAAGGGAGAGGGCCTATTTGAAAAAGGCAACAGCTTTCAGAAAGTCTCCTTTAAGAAATCTACTTTTGAATATACTTCAGTGAAATCATTGTTGAAATAGGCTGACAATGGAAATCTGCCCAGATTGAAAATGCCAGTCCTAATTCAAAAAACAATTCCTAGCTAATCGCTTGTTGCATTTTTAAATTATTTCTAGACTTTGAGCTTTAGAATTAAATGGCTAACTGGGAAATGTTACCATTTTGTATATATGTTGTGGGTATAAATGGGCACAGATCTACACCCTGCTGTAAGTGGAATTTTTTTCTAACACGTTTTTGATTTATGGTATCTATAAGGATTATTTTTTAAGGATCATCAGGATGTAAAACAGAGTGTGTGTGAAAGTAACCATTGGTTTAGAATGTTGATCTAACATGGAAATAAAATTTGTAACACCACACTATAAGGTTAAAAAGAAAACTGTATAATAAAGGAAATACAAAGGCTTTGGCATGGTTTTTTACAATCAACAATGGTTAATTTTGATATGTAGTTGTGAACAACTTCAAAACACTTAAGTTTAAAACTCTTGCAAGCACTTTTAATTGATTAGGAATGAACTCTAGATGCACAAAATGATTGGACCGTGAACAGTAATACAACTATATCTAAGAACAATTAACTTTTGCTGGCCAAAAAAGAAACGTATGATTGCATGAAAATGTGTATAAAACATCTATATTCTTGTCAAATATAAATGAAATTAACTTTATTATAGAAATCATTCTGAGGATTTCTAGGGAAGACAAATACTTACATTTTGACATAAAACAAATTGGATTATATCGAAGACACACTCTACCTTTTAGCTATCAACTTTTTTTCTTCCTTGAATTTATATCTTACCCTTTTTTGCACATAAACTTCATCTGTTAACAACCTTTGGAAAACCAACAGATATTTCTGACATAAATCTAGTGCATGTTGTTCCAGGTTTAATTATATGCAAAGGAATGATACAAACTTGGAACATCAGTCCATAAACTATGAACAGATGGGTAGAAGTATTCGATATATCTTGATAAAACTCTTAAATTCGTGGCAAAGCTTGTTGATCATGGTTTTCTTTTTAAAAAAAAAAAAAACAACTTCATGACCAACACAGATCAAACATCCATCCAGTCTACATTGTTCTTTTTTTCATTATAACATACAAATGCCCATTTACAAATAATACACCAAAATGAATAAAAGTTTGGATACCAAAATGAAGATTTGTTCCAACTGATATCGTGCCTTCTGTATACAAAGGTCCTTGTTTCAAGTCCATTCCTTCCCCAGTGGTACAATACAGGACACAATTGTAGAACTGAAGCGGCTCTAACAGCCATTTTTCTTTCTTTCCTGAAAGCTCAACTGTTGTGTCCCCATAGTCACTGACTGAATTAACACAATATTTCCTTTCCTTTTTTTTTTTTTTTTTTTTTTTACTGTAATCTTGGCCAGTATTGAGACATATCAGGTTCACTTCCGGGAACTTGAACTGGAACTGACACACCAGGGGAAATGAGTCCTAGAAGTGGATGAAAGAAATAGCCATGTAGATATTCCCTTTGAGAAACAGACATGGAATACAAATTTATAGGTTTACAAAAAAAAAAAAAAAAAAAAAAACTAATACTTTCTAACATTTTTTACTGTATTAAAATCACTTCAATTGTTACAAATAAAAGTAGCACCTTCAGAAACTAGACAATATATGTATATATACCTATTGGATCCCAAGTACCCCCCACCCCAATCCAAAGGAAAAGAAAAAAAAAATCCTCTGTTTGTTTGCATGTTTGGAACTTTTACAATAAAGCTGTCTCTGGAAAACCAATGTGTCACTTTTTATTTCCAGCAAAAGGTCTAGAGGAGCTATGAGGGCAAGAAGCATTTCAACAAGCACGCACCTACAGCTCAGTGGGCCCCCTACTGAGCTTCGTCTAATAATCTGTCCTCAGAAAACTTGCAGTCTCAGGCCTTGTCTTCATACACAACTTTTGTGACCAAATTCAGGAAAAACAATTTTAGTTTTTGTCTATATGGTGTAAAGTTACTAATTAGCTTAACTGAATTTCCCTTTTCAATCCCCATCCCCCAGGGACAAGGAAAGCAAGGAGTTAAACACGCCCTCCCATAAGACCAGGAGATTCTGTTTGGGTAAACTTCTAGTGAAGAGAGATCGCCTCTGTGCAGCCTGCAGAAAGCAGTGGCTCACCTGTTGAAGTGGTGCCCGAGGTGCCCATTGGCTGACTGTTCATGTGTGTCTGCATATGTGGGGGGGTGTAGGTATCATAACTCCGCCCATTCACCGAAGGGCTGGTGGGCAGCATGCAGGAGTATGAGGAGGTCTGGCTGGGGACTGGGGGCTGTGAGGAGAGAGGCAAACCTGTGGTTACTGAGGAACACATCACACAGCCACAGCCCCAGGCTCCCTCCTCCCGAGGAACTCTGCCAACAAGTCTGATCATTAAAGATGCCTTCACGTGAAGTACTGGAATTCCATATGATAAATCTAAGATTGGGCCTCGAGCTAGTCCTTCCACTGGCCACAGCTAGAAGAAAGCTGCCTATGTATCAAGCCTCTAAAGCACTTTAGGTTCTGACAACTGTCCAGCTAGATGGTTGCCACTATCCATAAATTAATAGGATTTTTGTCTCTAACCTCTGCTAGCATCTTTGAAGAACCTATAGCATGAGGACCTTCATCAAAACACATCCCCTCTCCCTGCAAATCTGGATTTATTTGGGAACCCTATGACCCCCAGAGCCCATATCTCAAGCTTTGGGACAGAGAGCAGTGGGAGGAGCTCTCAGTAAAGTATGGTTCAGGGACCTTGGGAACCTTTCACTGATGGGATTAAAGATTCTTTGAAGAAGCAGATCTGTAATGACCCCAAGTTAAAGTGATCAGAAGTGTTAGTAAATATAACGACCTCCATCCTGAGAATTAACCATGACTTCCTAACAGACCCAAAAGCCCAGACTGACTTATAACTAGAAAACTGTTGCTACCCTCGAACTGTTCGGAATGGCAGCACTGAGGAGGTAAACCTTTCTCCTAACAAAACGCCTCATGAGCTCTCATGGTACTATGCCATGGCAGCAAACTTGGGATGAATTAAAAGAAGTGTGTCGGGAACAAGCAGGTCAGATGATAGTACAGTATACTATCATTTCTCTTCTCTGCAAACTGGAGAAATGTTTAATTTCCAAAATCCATATGCTCAGAGAGGGAAGCATATCAGAGAAGGTCCAGAGGAAGACACCCACCATTTGTAAAATGATGATTTTGGTCAAGAGAATGAATAAATGGATAGACAATCGGGCTCACCCACTCCAAAATTCAAAGAGTAGTTTTCTCTGAAGAGTAAAGTTATTGATCATTTTGATTTTCTTTATGCTTAATGAATGCATGTACTTTTTGAATTATACAAATTATGTAATTTTTAAAAGTCAGTGTTTGAAATAGATTGATTCCCCATACCGCTCTGTATGTGGAAACAGCCCTAATATAATTGCAGCATCTACTTGTTCGTCTTATTATTTTCTCACATACACATTTTGCTATCTTCACAGAAACCTGGATGTTGTTATAATACATGAAACTGAACGAGACACTCTGTGGCCTTATTAAAGTCAGATGATGAATGCTAACATCAAGTTCAAAGAGGCAAACAGGCCTTGAGGGCCTGCCAGAATTTCAGCTTGCATTTGTTTCTAATTCCTGCAATGAGTTCCTCTAGGCAACCTGACTTCTGGAAAATTCCAACGCAGTTATAGCAACACCAACTAATGGGCTGTTAATCCCTTAATTTACATCAATTGCACTATGGCCAACAATATCCAGATGCAATAAAAATAAACATGTGAATAATTCCTCTGAAGTTGCTTATCTAGCTGCTCCTATATTAGTCTGAAGACTGTGAAACATTTATTTTGCTGTTATTTGGATTTGAAATCCAGCAAAAAATGTTCAATGGAGAATAAACAATCAGTGTAGCCCCAGAACTGTTTCCAGCAGAGGCTCATGCTGGCCAATATCGTACCATCTAATATCTCTAATTGTTGCACAAACAGGAGTTCTAGGAAAACCACTGGGAAAGGCCTACCAGAAGACAGACATTTTTCCTATCAAGAATCCATCCAGCAACAAAGGTCTAGTACAAACCATCTGCCTTATCCAACTTACATCATAAAGGGTGAACCTAGTGCAGGACCTCTAAATGTAGGGGCTAATAGATATTTGGGACAGAACTAAGAGGAGAGGCAGGCTGTCATACCAAGTGAATAGCATCAAGCTTCCCAGGCAGCTAGGAGGGCCACAAACTCGTCACACCATTCACAGCAAAGACACACTAAATTTCCAGCAAATACCTGCTATGCCTTTTCTTATTGTAGATACAGACAGAAAACTAGCATTCTCATTATATTATGTATATCTCACCATGTAAATATGAATCCCATTTCTGATCCTTTTTTCTTTCTCACTAGTTTATCACATATACCCAAAGTAATGCCCCAAATGCGTGCACAGATTCTATATTTAGCATACAAACACATTAATATAAACCCAAATTTTAAACTACTAATCTGCTATCTGATAATGTGCCAGCATTATTTCCACTTTCTGGTGCAAGGCTCCCTGGTACCCAAAACATGCCCCACCACCACCCAACATTATCAAGGTAACAGTATAATAAAAGGCAGATCAACCTGACAAAACTGGACAGATTTTTATTACTCATTTTTTTAGGGCATGAATTAATGAGTCAATCACTTAAAAGTGATGGGATTGACTGTCTCCGACTTGACTGGTCAAGCCAATCACTGTAGTGCGAAAAGCTCTCAAGGGTGCAGACACAGCCAATGAGGTCCGCAGGCCCTGAGCCACTCCTCACTTCTCTGGGGCCTGGGTTATGCAGGCCACCACCAGCCGCACTTACTTGCATAGGCAGGTTATTTGCCATGGTGAAGCTGGGCATAGGCGGCAGAGCGCTGTAGGTGTTTGTGAGGGCTGTGTCTGTTCGGCCCAACATGGAGCCAGATGTGAAGGAGGAAACTGAGGGCAAGAGAAATGACAGTAGTCAGAGTGAGAGTCAGAGCCCGGAGCAAACAGGTTTAAAGACATTGATTCGTAGTATTAGTATTTCAAATTACCCGGTGTGGTGGGTTGTGGAATTGGTTGGTAGACACTGGTGCTGAAACTACTGCTGATAGGAATATGACTAGGTGTGTTGCTGGCCTGTCTTCTCTGATTCCTCAGTTTTTCTTCTCTTCTCCATTTGGCCCTTCGATTAGAAAACCATACCTGGAAATCAGGTGGGACAGGTTAGCACTGTGTCTACGTCGAGCCCAGCCCCACCTTGGCACCTCCACTGCTGCCCTCCCCACGCCCATGGCAGCAGAGCATTTAGCAGACTGAACCTTTTTATTATATTAGTCCTATAAATAAATAGTACTCTGTACAAGCACCTCTGTCTCTAGGAAAGACAAATGGTATGAATCACAAAGTGTGAAACTGCACAGTCTCTCGGTACCTGTATTCTTGCTTCAGGTAGATCTATTTTGGCTGCTAGTCTTTCTCGGGCAAACACATCTGGATAATGGGTTCTCTCAAACTCTGAAAGAGTAAGTTGATTTTCCATATTGTGCCAGAACTACACAAAATATGTTGACCAAACTGTGCATCAAACTGGTTCCCACCTCCCCACTCCCATTACCTCCAACCAATTCCCTTTAAAATGCTTCTAGTGTTGACTGTACTTGGAAGAACTTTCCCACCAGAACCAAGTTAAATTTTCTTTGGAATGGCATTCAGTGACCTTTCTGTGGCCTGAAATAGCCAAATCATCATTTTTCCTTATAAGTCAGACATTTAGTCTTTGAATTACTGGTAGATGAAAAGAAGAAACACACACACACACACCACACACACACACACACACACACACACACACACACACACACACACACACACACACACACTGAAAAGATGCCCAGAGAAATAAAAAGACAGAAAAAAGGAAATCTTTTCATTCTTCTATGCAAAGGGCCCTGGCTAAATTTAGCTCTTTGTACTGAAGATGTGGCATTTACTTTGATTTACTGCTTCTCTACTTTGAAAAACTCTATCACCTTTCTCCAGGGCCTCAATTTGCTCTTGGGTAAAGGATGTTCTATTTCTTTGCAGCTTCCGCTTCAGCTGAAGTCGCATTTGAGCCTCATCTGAATCTTCTCCGTTGGAACTGATGGAGTTGGTATTCTCTCCCCCTCCTTCCTGTTGCTGGCAGCCATCTGGAACAAAAAGAATAGGATGGTAAGAGAAATTTGGATTAACTTGGAGCCTCCAAAAGGGGCCTGGTGTAGTCTTAAACTCCAAGAGCATTATATCCCGACAGCCTCACCAAAACATTCCCAAGGTAACTGTCAGCCTTCTTTTAAAAAAATACATTTGCGATGTTAGTTACCTGACCACCATTTTCTTTGTTTTTATCAAGATGAGACTTTATAATACACACACTAAGTGGCATTTCTTGAATGAAAAAATAAGCACTGAAGTTTCCAATTAAAATGATCTTTTATAAGTAACCCCAACTCCCCAAATGCCTCACTCCACTCCCTACAGAATCTCTTTACCTATGGCTGTGTTGGGAAAATAGAAGAGTGATGTTCAAGATTTCAGTTGATCTATAATCAGTAATTCCTATCTAATCAATTAGATGTTGATAGGTTTGTAGAAAATGCTATTAAGAAACCAAACCAAGCTTGTAATCTTTTTTAAAAAATATTTATCTAGTTTTTATTTGAATTCTGCACAGTCAATTTCATTTAAAGGTTGTGAATTTAGAAGTGCTCGCATTGTTCTGCAGTTTTATTCAACTATTGTATGAGTGCGCTTCGCCTTGACACCTATTACGAGCACAGCTGTAATTATATCATCACCAAGAACAGGCTATAATTGCTGAAAATGGAATTTTATATTTAGATAAAAGGACTGTCCATTCTTTGTAATGTGTTGCACCAGAGAAAAGTAAGATTTCTTTTAAATTTTTAACGTGTAATTTTAAAAAAGAAATAGTAGAGAGTTCACTAACTAGCTAAATATTCTATGCTGCAGCTGAATCTTTGGCATATCATTTAAGTGGTACATTTTTAATTAGGGCATTTCCACCACTTTGAATGTAACTTCTATCATTATACAGGGGGAAAGTTTTATGGTTTTCCCTTGCTGCCTGGAGGGCAAGATGTGCACTTGGGCTAGCTGGCTCCCGGCTTGCACCTTGCCTGTAAGGCCACAGTGAAGGGAAGCAGGATTGCCTAAACTCTGACTGGGCCTCCAGGGCCACTACAGGCTGGGTCCTGGGTCTGGGGTCCTGAAATGACCCCCAAGGGATACCAGCATGGGCTACCCACCTCCCTATCCTCAAAACTTGGCCAGAGGCGGGGTGGAGGGGCCCCTAGGAGCGCCTTGGTGGGAATCGACTTGGCCAGGAATATTATTTATAACCAGGAGACAATAGGCTGCGCCTTCAAAGAGTTCAGGGAATTGTGACAGGATCTAGTGGGATCTTTTCAGGAACTTTGAAATGTTTTAAAACCCCAACTTTCTCCCCCATTTAAACAGGCGGATTCATCGGCACTGGCCACCATATGGGCCCTTGGAGATCTATTGAGATGACCACCAACACTTGAATAGCGAGGGGCTGCTTTTCAGCGCTGCACAATGCCCCGCGAGTAAGGGAAACTATTAAACTCCTGGGGCAGGAGCGTTGGCAAACTTTCGTGGGCAGAATTTTGAGGCTACAATGAGCGCGGACAACAAAAGGATTCTCTTGAGGCGTGCAGCGGGCCACATTGTGTTACAAGAAGCCCAGTCAACAGACTTTTCAGTGAAGTGTGTTAACCCCTCTGCTCTGCTATCATTAATCACTGTCCGAAGAGCGGGCGCCTCCGTGCTATTTAGGGCGCTTGGCTGGGGGGATGGAGGGTGGATGGGGGGGCCAGGGCCCAGCATGGGGGGAGGCAGGGAGAGTGGACGGGGACCAGGGCTGGGTTCCTACATAGAGGAGATGGAGGGGAGGCAGGATGGAAACCAGCGGTGGGGGTGGAAGCAAGGGGGAAGGATTGGGGGGCCTGGGTTAGGGGAAAGACAGAGGGCGATGGAGGGAAAAAGAGGGCGATGGAGGGGAAAAGAAGGCTCAAAAAACATAGAGGCTAGAAAGGTATTTTTAAAAAAGGACAGAAAAGAATGCTGAGAGGAAAAAGAGACACGAGGGCCGAACAAGAGTGGGAGAGAGAGGAAAAGGAGGATGAGGGCCAGAGAATATTAGTAACTGAGCCCCATCTGGACTCTGGGTCTTTGCACTCCATCAGAAAGGTGGGGGTCGAGGAGGGCTACTTAGCTGAGGGAGACGCGCTCCGCTCACGTGTGCGGGCACAAGCGTCTGTGCTAATTTACTGCCCCAAGTTTCCGGGGACTTTTCAAAGCGTTTTTCAAGGGAAGAAATGAAGCGACCACCCCCACCCCTCGCTTTATTTTCGGGTTTGGTGAAGAAGGAAGACTGGAAATAGCTCCTTTTGGCCAACTAGAAAGGCCGGAGGGTTATTGCTTTTGGAAAACAGACAAAAATCTGTGCACATCTGGTATGGGGTGGGGGACACTGAGGAGAACACAATGCCCATCTCCCCATGGCCACTCATGCCCATGCCTTCCTAGGGGCCCCATCTCGGTCCCTTTTCTGGCACATTCGATCTCGCCAATTAAACAAAGTTGCCCGAATCTGCCTCCGAAGAACCCCGCCGATAGCATGCTCTGCTCTCATTTGCCTCTTTGACATTTTCTTAATTTTAAAACATGGAGATTCACATTCTTATCCATGTTCTGTCTCACACAAACATACACACGGGTTTACACAGGCAGCACGCGATCGCCGCCAGGCCCTGTGCTGCCTCCAGAACTGACACTTAAGAGAGAAAAGTCAGCAGGGACAGTAGAGCTCAATTTTAAATCTGGAAAAAAAAAAAAAAAAAAAAAAGATGGGAAGCGGGGATTGGAATTCCACAGCAAAAAGAAACCTGTCGCTGCAGGATCCCTTCTCTACCCCGCGGGGAGAGCGGCACGGAGACAGTTCATTACTTTAGAAGTGGCAACTGTTTGCAGCCAGGCGGTGACCTAGCGGCTGCTCTTACATAAAATGGGTACATTTCCCCCCACTTTAGTGGATTTGCCTTCCACTCTTAAAGCTTTTAACAAAATAAAACTAGAAGTTGGATCTCGACTCCCCCACCCCCACGATAAACCTAAGTGGTGGACAATTAAGATATCTTCTTCAAAAGGCGCCCCCTCGGAGCCGCGCAAAGCAGGGGCCTTCAGTGGGTGCCGTTCACCTTCCAGCCTAATCCGTGAGAAAGCGAGTGAAAGCGCCTCCCATTATCCCAGCCCCAGGACCATCTGACGATGGGAATAGGATTTGTTTCCTGGAAGGAGGTGAGAGAGAGAGAGAGAGAGAGAGACAGAGAGAGAGTTGCTGGGAAATAAAATCATTCCTTAGTTTCTTAGTGTCTTAATCAGTGAGGCGGAAAACAAGCAAGAAAAGATAGCAACCCGGTTGCGGCACCTTTTCAGCTCTGGAGCGCGGATCAAAACATTGTAGCATCTGTTGAAAGAGAGGCTGACTAAATCCTATAGAGGGCTTGGGTATTATGGGGGGTGGGGGTGGGGTGAGGGGAGGAGATAAGAAAAAGTGTCTCCGTGATCCCTAAAACCACCAAATCGCCGGAGAATTGGGGCTGGATAGAGTTGTCTCTTGTTGTTGTCAGCCCACGTCGTCGCGATTTTATTCACCGCCGCATGGCGTTGATCAGATGGAAACCATATTTGTCTCCCTCTGAGACCTAACCCCCGCCTTATGCTTTTGGAGTATGGACTCTTTAAAACCCAAGAAAGGCTTCCTGGGCTGGGAAAGGGGGCTAGGGAGGGAGGGGGACCCTCTTAGCACCAAAAAGTCTGAGGATTCCCCGGGAACGTGAAGCGAAGCTCACCACCGGTGCCCGCTACCCCCACGCCGGCAACTCTGTGCTTCGTTTGGCCCACGTGTCCTCCCCACGCAACTAGGGGCGACGGTCCTGTGCCTGAGGTGACAATCACCCCCCAAAAACCTCACTTGCGGGTGGGGGGGTGGTGATTGCCAGTTGACCCAGAATTTTCTAGCAACTAGGCGCGTTAAAGTGAAAAGCCCCTGGACTAGCTCCACCTCCGGCCCCAACCATCACAGGCGGACCCTAGCTGATTTGACTCTCACTTCCCGCCCTCAGACTGCCGGCGACGAAAATCCGCCCGAATCGGGCGCCACCTCTGGTGGAAGCTGCTGTCCTCGGCTTCTGCCCAACTCCAAGAAGCGGAAGGGGGGTGTATCCTGCGCCCCAAGCTCATGGGAGCCCACGCACCGGGGAGAGCCCGGAGTGGAGGCTCTGGGCTCAGCCCTCCCAGGCCTAGGCCACCGTGCCCTGAGTCCCTCCCCAAGACTTCTCGGACTAAGTGGGCCAGACTCTTGTCAGGGGAGGGATCACCAGGACCTCAGATTGCTGGGGGCGGAGGGGTGGACGCTCGTGAGTGCGAAGTTCGGGTGTCACTTGGGTGTGTCCAGTGTCTACAAGTGGGAATCCTACGGTTTCAAAAGTCAGGCAGGGATGGGGTTGCCTACACTCGGTGGGGTCAATCGCTAGTCTCACCAGAGGCGGGAGCGGGCCTGGGGGCCCTCTGAGCTCGCGGAGGCGGCGGGTTCGGGGCCCGTGCGGGCGGGGTCGCCCAGGGGAGCCCGGGCCCCGCGCGTCAGGAGGCCTCCGCCGGCCGAGCGGCCGCGCTGGGAAACAAGAAGCGAGCGCTTTGCTCCCTATCTTCCCAGTGTCCGTCCTATATTGTTTTCTGCTCTTAAAACTGACATGTCTAATTGGCAATTGGTGCCGAATCGTGTCCAGAGGTCTCTTGTGGAACATTTCTACAGCTGTCTCCTTCAACTAGACGCTTATTCATGTCGCCTTAATGAGAAACAAAACGTTCTCTAATGAGCAATTACAGAGCGACAGGATTGTTCCCATAACAAATTCTTGCGAGTGACAGAAGCATCCTTTGTACCAGATATTTCGCATACTGTTACCGATTTTCCCTTCCCTCGCCCGACTCCATGGAGGCGCCGGGCATCCGGAGCCGGTCCGAGAGCTCACGGATGCGCCGGCAGCCTCCTCGCAGTCCCGCGCGCCGCCCCTGGCCCCGAGCCCCTCGGCTCCGTTGTGCTCCTGGGAGTGAGACGCCACGTCCCATTATCCCGCATATTATCTCCTTGTCACGAGGACAACAAATACCGATTAATCTTCGGAGTAAACTGTTTCCTATTCTTGACCAAGCTACCTCGGGGTGTGGAGGGGAGCGGAGGGGAGCCAACTGACCCTCCCCTCCGCCCCACCCCCCCCATCCCCCGCTCTTCTTCCTCCAGCCCTTCTCACAGAACCTGGGGTGTTTCAGGTCCCATCTCTCCTCCCAGACCAGAGCGGCTCCCGGCATCCCGCCGTCCTGCTCACAGTATCTTCACCTCACCACTTCCACATAGTCGCCACCCACAGAGAGTGAGAAAGTGGGACCCAGAGGGGCGAACGGGGGAGGGGCAAGGATAGTGGGGTGGTTTTAGTTGGGAGACCACCACTTCCAATGCCCCATCCCCGACTCGCCCTGCATCTCCCTGCTCACCTTTTCATGTGCACCCTACTCATAGTCACATAATTTGTCAATTACAGCAAAAAGCAACAGGATACAATTATGTTAACCTCGCAGTCTGTCAGTGCGTTATCTTGTCACACTTCTACAAGGGGGCTCTCCCTGCATTCTAATGTCAAATTTGAATAGTGCACCACGCAGCTCGTTCTTATGCACACAGTGCTGCCCACAAACACACACACGCACCCACCAGCCACCTTCATACCGCTCCTGACATACACAACCCTCACATTCCCAGGCCAACAAAATGGTTCAACAAACACCACCTACATACAATGTGGTCGATGTGTCCCAGGCCTTCAAATGCAGTCTCACCCATGACATTCCCCAAGCATGGAAGCCCTGAGAGGAAATGGTTGGGAGAGTAGGGGACAGGCAAAGGGATGCACATATGGAGAGCTGCGTGGATGGCTGCTTGGGTTTTACCTTGCGTAGGTTGCCCTGGCACCGAAGTCCCCGGATACCAACCAGGGCGGGTGCCCCAGCTTCCGGTCTGCCCGTTCAACATCCTTAGTTTATCATACATGCCGTCTGCGCCCATCTGTTGCTTTTCGCTAGCCAGGTTGCGAAGAACTCTGTTTATTGATGACACCTGCAAATCAAACCAAAATCAAACCAAATGGTAGTGTCTCCTGAAGACACAGTCACCCATCTCAGCTCACCCACAACCTTAAAAAGCAACTCTCAACCCGTTAAAAAGCTCCCAGCCACCCCGGGACAGTGGGTGGATTTGCAGATACACCGTGGAAAAAATGATAGCTATCACTTTGGGCATGGAAATTTAGTTGGATAGAGAATTGGGCGGAGGGGGTCCTTCACCATTGCTTGGTGTCTCTGGTGACCTAACTCACACGGTTGCTTTGCTTTGTTAAAAGACTGCCCGAAAATAAAAACTATTTAGACTTGTTGTAAAGCTTTCTTTCATTATATTGTTTAATATTAGGATGGAAATGGATGTGTGACACCTGAAGGAAAGTTCTGGCAGGTGGATTAGGACGAAGTTACAATCTGGTTCTCATTTTCCTTCTTCATTCAAGTGCCTTTCCCTGGTGCCTCCGCCCTCTGTTTTGCAGCATGCAAATGAAGTGAATGACTCCCCACACTTGACTCCCATTTTCCAGACAGTCAAAGAAAAGTCAGGGCATTCCTCTCTGTTCCCCCAGGTACAAAGGAGACAAATGTGGAGCAGGGAGAGGACACAGACTAAGAGACAGTGGAGAGAGAGGGTGGGAGGAGGTAAAGAGGAGAGAGCATTGGGCTTAGGGCAGGGAGGGCAGATGTTCTCAATGAACTTACGCTTGGTATGTTATCGTTGGTACAGACCCCCTCGGACAGTAATCTGTCTCGGATTTCCCAAGCAAAGATGGACGGGCACTCCCGCTTATACTGGGCTATTTTGCTTACAACTTCTGGAGTCGCTACTCTCGGTTTACTACCACCGATTGCCCTGGGTCTGATGGAGCCAGTCTCGTAATACCTGCCCAGAATTTTACTCACACATCCGTTGGACACCTGCATAGGGGAAGTGGACAGAAAACCACATTATTAATAATTTCAAGACAAAAATAAAATTGTTTAAGTATGCATTAAACAATGACAAGCTTACGTTTTGATTGTCCAGCACTTGGACTTTTGCATCTGCATGGGTCTATAACACAAAAATATACCTTCAATGGTATGAGAACTTACTGTAGAGAGCTTTTTTTCTTAAAATTACATTTGTAGCCCTAAAAACTACAAATATGATGATACTTTCAAACAATTTGAACTAAAAAACGAATTTAAAAGCTTTTTTTAAAAAAAAAACTTTTCTTAAACACTGCCTGAAGATGCATCAAAACGAAGTAGATAAATTTATTTTTGTGCTGACCTTGCTTAAAGTGGCGTTATGTTTTAAAGAACAAAGGTAAAAAATAAACTGATTTTTTTACTTCTTCTTCTTTAAAAAATACTCAATTGAGTAAATGTGAGTTAGGGAGGAGTAAATAGCATTTGCCTTTTAAAATCAATATATATTATTCATAAACATGAAGAATAAACAAATACCTCAAAAGCTGAGGTAAGCATGGGCTGGGGAGAGCAGAATGAAATTATGCCGGTTTATATAACTCAGCTTATTACGGTTCATAAACTGTTCCCACAATGAATGTCTTTACCAAATAAAAAGAGAAAGATTTTTTTAAAAAAATCCGCACACAATATTTTTCTGAAGCAGATGAGTTATCTTATGTAACTGACCCAGGTTGAAAGAGATAGGGAAGGATGGTGGAAGGAGAGGGGAAAGTGGGAAGGCAGGGGAGTGGGTGGGGGGACTGGGGACTGGGGTGGGTGAGGGTGGGGGGGTCCATAATTAGCATCGTTTACAGTAAGAAATGAAGAGAGGGCGTTGAGAGTGGAGGGCCGCGGGGGCGGCGAGTGGGGCGGCGCCGGGAGGATCACCTGCAGAATTCGGGAAATGTCGCACGGCCGGGCCCCGCTGTGAGCTAGCTCTACAATCTTCTGCCGGGTGGAGTCCGGCAGTGGCCGCCCGTTGACAAAGACACCACCGAGCTGATTCACTCCGCTGTGACCTGAGGAAAGGGAGAGGAGAGGAAAGGGGAAAAGAAGAGAAGAGAGCAGAGTGAAGAGGAAGAAGAGGGAGAAGAAGGAAGAGGAAGATGAGGGAGAACAAGAACAGAAAGGAGAGGAGGAAGGGGAAGAGGAAGAAGGAGAGGAGGAGGAGACAACCACAATGCATCCTCATCCCCCTGCCAACCTGTGCCAACCTCGGCGGTCAGTTCCCTGCTATCGATCAAATAAAGGACAACAGGACCACCAGCCATGCCAGACATCGGGCAGCCCAGTCCAAGCAACCGTGCCCCTGCCCACTGTACTGCAGCAGCAACACAGAGTCAGACACATGCCAAGGAACAAGTACACATGGACCTCACTACAGCCATAACCCCAGCAGTGTCCCCAGCCCACTGCCCCTCTTCATAAACACTGCAGCCAGCCTCTGAACCCACAAAGCGCTAAGAACCGGCTCTATAAATCTCCCAAAGATCCCCTCTGAGTGTCACCGCAAACCATGGGTTCTACAGATCCCACACTGAACCTTCAAGGTCTCTGCAGTGTTGGGACAGTGATAGCAAACCTTACAGCCCTTGAGTGCTCCCTTAGACGCTAAAATCCAGAAATGTTTCCATCACCGTCCAAACTGGCCAAGGCCTGGCACAAGCATCGAGTTGGGTTTTGTTTGGTTAGAATAGAAGAAGGAAGAGGAGAGAACAACCAGAGCAGCCAGTATGTGGCTGGTGAACCCCAGTCCAGGTTTCCGCACCTCCAGTGCAGACGTGAGAGTCAGAGCCCGGGCTCGGCTTCAGCCACAGACAAGTCCGGCCACCGCAAGTAAGGCTTAGAGCCGGGAGTCGGTTCGCACCAGCCACTGCTCGCTTTATTTCCGCCGCTGAACTCCGCCCTCCCCTTAGCCAAGGATAGATATTATCAAAAAGAAAAAACAGAAAAGAAAAATACCACATCATAGTGTTCCCCATCCCTCCTTTATCTTTGTATCTCACAACCTCATCCCTGTGGTCCAACCTTAGAGAATAGGGAGAGGGAGTTAGCCCCTCTTTGTAGTCCCCCTCCCCAAAAACCACAGACACACAAAGCCAATTGCCAATTTCCACTTCCTTAAAAATCTCCAACCTGCAGCCCCGACTTAGATAGCAGCCCTCCCAGGAAAAGACGTGGCTCCCTGTTCAGCTCTCCTCTCCTCTCCTCTCTTCTCCTTGGAGCCTACTGATAAATTGACGCCAGGAGCCTGAGCTTCTTAGCAATAAATAAGCTCCAAATATAGAAGAGGGGGGAAAATATGATGAGCCTCTCTGACATTTGTCTTTAAAATAAAACTAGCTGCACGTCAAGTTTGAGCTTAATTTCTGGAAATAGGCGGAAGTCGCTCCGGATCATGCATGGAAGGCTAATTGAAAAGATCAGTCGGGGCGCTTGTGGCAGCCTTGTCACTTTGTGACAGTGCTCCGCTCCGGGAAATTGCATCGTCACGACAAACGGGACCGTGATAAAACGACCCTTTCCGTCCTTATTTGTAGATCACTCAGACGAGATTGAACTGCACTTGTTTCCCCTTCGAGGGGAGCCGCGTTTTCAGGGTAGCCGAAGGCTTGGGGCTGAGGGGGGGCCCTCACCAAGGCGCGGGTGGGGGCCGGAGCCTCAACTCGATGAGAAGTGACAGGCGTTTGGGGGATCTGGGCTCCGGCCGGGACCAGCGCAAGCAGGGACTTTGCGGGGACACCGCTTCTCCAACAGAGCAAGGCCTGGCCCACGTTTCCGGTTTCTCCTAACTTCCTTTTATTGCCTTCCTTTGCTTCGCAAGTTCCATCTACCCCTCCAGCTACAGAGCCCCACCTCTAGGCACAGGAAGCTTCCCGGAAAAAGAAAGGCTGTCCCAGAAAGAGACCGAGAGAGACTTTCCAAACTTCGGGCATAGCCACGGCAATTCCCAGTCTGCTAATGCCAAGGCGGGCGCGTAAGGCCGCCTAAATCTAGACCTCCCTCCTCACTCATTTCAAAAAATAACAACGTGCCAGCCACCTCCGCAGATACCGCCGGCTGGTGCTTGCCCAGGAGACGCCAGGGCCAGAGCGCCACTCCCAGCATCGAAATGGCAGAGAGAAAGCGCAGCTCCAAATTCCCCTTCAGAGGTTAAGCCTCAATCATTGTGTCCCTTCCCTAGGGACTGCTGGCGCTCTCGCCCACTGGCGATGATTATGCGCCTAGAACTCGACCGCGAAGCAACTAATAGGAAAACATATGGTGTCAATTTGGATGCTCCGCGCCTCGCGCACACCCGGGAACGAGCGGCACAAAGCCCTGCCGGCCGGCCCGCGACCCCGCGCCCCTCGGGGCCTGCCAGCCGGGCCGCAGCGACAAACGCTCAGGGCTGCGCGCCCTGGCTGGGGCCCGCCCGAGAGACAGCCTGCGGCTGGGGAGTCTGAGCTCCAAGGGGAGAGCCCAGCCGCCGAAGGCGAGCCTACCGGCCAAGCCCTGGGGTCCGGCAGGTTCTGCACAACTACTCCCGCAAAGCTCGCCACCTTTGTGCCCTTTCCTCAGCTACGCGCTTACCAGCCCCGGAAGCACCAGGGGGCGACCGGCGTTTCCAAAACAGATGGATAAGGTGCTGGGGACCCTCCTTAAGCCTGTGTGGTTCGGCCAGGGCAGGCTGCTGGAAGACCCGGGCCTTTCCACACTTTGAGTTCAGTTGAGCCCCGACGCCGTGTGCCTCAACCGTAACCTCAAACCGGGCCTGGTTTCGCTGGGCCTCCAGGCTCCCAGGTCGGAGCTCTAGACTAGCCCTGCCGCGTACCAGCACCCACCACGAACAGGAAGGTGGGTGGGACCCCACGGGGTCTGGGCAGAGGAAAGCAGGGAGGTACAAGGGCCATAAGTATCAAAAGCGCTCTGGGCCTGGGACTATCAGGACCCAAGCAATTGCAGTTGCCAGGGCAGGGATTTTCCAATTCCTGGGCACCTCCTTACCAGACCCAGTAAACCGTGCTCTCTCCCGCGCCCTGTAACAGCGAGTTTACCACCCCTACCCTGCTGCAGGCCTGGGGGCTCCTCTCCCCATCCCTTCTAGGCCCGTAGTGGGGTGAGGAGGGGAGGAGCTGCCCTGAGAGTGACTTGGGGAGAGAAGCCCCCAACCCCGCCGGGTTGGTGGAGACTTTCAGTCTTGGCTAAGCCCAAAGGGGCCTCCTTCTCGCTCAACTAGGAGAAGACTTCGCCCCGCCCTGATCAGCCCAGCCCCTCTCTCCGGGGTCAGAGCCCGGGCAGGGGCGAGAGGGGGTGTGAGTTACAGGATTTGGGGGGGATGGGGTTTCTCTACCGCAGCTTCGAAAACTCGGGCGGGCTGTTCTTAAGGGCCCAGCCCCTGCTTCTCCAGTATCGAGAAGAGCCAAGCAAACGCCCTCCCCTCCCGGGCTGCCGGGCGCGGAGCGGGGAGCAGCCGCCGCAGGTCCCCGGGCCTCAGTCGGTCGGCGGCCGGGCCAGCGCGGGCGTCGCGAGTCCCTGTGTCCTCCCCTGACCCTCGGGTCCGCGCACCCCGAGCCCGAAGTCCCAGAAAGACCAGAGGCACTTACTGTTCTGCATGCTGGCTCTGGCTGGGGGCCGCGGGATTCCACGGGGCTCGAATATGGGGCTCTGTTAGCAAGAAAATAGGAGTTAATCCTCGGGCAGCTGCATCAGGTAGGCCTGAACTCCCAACCGAGGTGGACCTGGGGCTAGGACAGGAGAATCTCCGTTCTTTAGGAATTGATCCACTCAACCTCTTGGGGCGATCTGAGGGTCACTCAGCTCTGCCCTGCAGTGCATACAAAATCTACCCTTTGGGGCTTGAAACAAAGTACTGGAATATCCCCAATCTGTTTCCCCTACATTCTTTAGCAGTTAACCCTTTAATCAGTAGAAGCGATGCCCCAATTTTGATTTATTTTCTTCTATCTGAACTATAGTGAAGAAGCATACTGAAATAGTTTGTTTTGACTGTTTGTGGGTTTTGAGCCCAAAGCAGCCACCACAGAACTTGCCTGAAATCTCGGATGTCTGTCCACTCTCACAATAAAAGGCCTCACACATCTGCGCGCCCCTAGTTAAAGTCTTCCCCCTAAGACAAAACAGAAGGAGAAAAAGGTATATCAAGCTGTGGTTCAACAGCATACGTCCATGGGCTCTCTGAGCCTCACTCTCAGGAAAAACACATGCATCTAGGGCTCAGTCAAACTGTCATCAAACTCTAAGTCCCAGCATTACACCCACATTTTCAGCGGCATCTGCCACAGAAGTCTCCATCCTTTAAAAGAGGCTGCTCTGGTCTGGCTTGGGAGAATTGGAAAATCTAGCAAGTTCGGATCCCACTTTGCAAAAATATAAAGAACCAGGAAAAGGGGAAGGGGGAAACAGGAGGAACAGTGGAGTAAGGAGTAGAGGCCAAGAGCTGAGGTTGAAGGGGTGTGAGGGGAGAGGAATACCTGAAGTTTGGAGACCAGGGGAAGGGAACCTTGGAACTTCCTGGTGCCGGAGAGCATAGGCTGGAGCAGTTTGGGAGGGCTGCAGGGCCACACTCCCTCCTTCCTTAAGGAACTTCACAAGACCCCCAGAACCCAACACTCTGCTTACCCTTTATCTTCTACTCCT
This sequence comes from Homo sapiens, assembly GCF_000001405.40. Taxonomy (NCBI): domain Eukaryota; kingdom Metazoa; phylum Chordata; class Mammalia; order Primates; family Hominidae; genus Homo; species Homo sapiens. The sequence goes on from NC_000011.10 coordinate 31,807,456, forward strand.
CTCCCTACACCAAAAAAACTTCCCAATGGCCCCCTCTCCATCTACCTCCCAGCTTTCTGGGACTTTGAAAGGGGCAAGCCCAACTTTTTATCCCAAACCTCACTTATTGTGATTAACTTCTCTTTTGGCGTTTAGATCTTCACCCCTTTAACTGTACTGTGACACACCCTGTCTACCTCGCCTCACTGCTTTAAAAAGTACGAACAGGAGGGGGTGAGCGTGGTCGACAAAGCCGACAGACGGCAAACAATGGCTTCTATTCTCCAGCTTTCCTCGAACCCAAGGAGCAAAACCGAGTCTCCCTAACCAGCAACACAGCTTCCAACCAAATGTACCAACAACCCACCAACTCACAAAGGGAACAGAGGGACGCTTCTAGCTTCATAAGCCCTGACCCAGTGCAGGGGTCCCCGAGGCTGCTCCCGTACGAACACCTCCCTACCTTTCCCAAAGGAAAAAAAAAAAAAGTCTTTTGGGTGAGTGGAGAAAATAGAAAAGTAATTTCTTGTTGTAAATATCTGGAGGTAATTGTGTTACTGGTGTGAGTTGTTAGGGGCTGTAAAAAGATACAACGGCACCGTGGGGAGCTCAATTGGGAAGAGAGAGTTACAATAAAGAGCCCATTCAAGAGGTCTGCCCCCCAAAAAGAGGTAAAATAACAAAACAGTCACAGCATCATTTCTCTCTGTTTTTTTTTAAATGCATTATTTTTTCTGTTTTACCTATGGTGATTATTGATCTGCCTGCCTGCAAGCAAAGAATTTCAAGAAGCACATTTTACTCTACAAGGCCATTCCTGGTCTACTTTTTAACTACTTGGTAGACAGCTTAAATCCATAAAAATAAACCGAAAATGAGGACTTTTTCTCAGCATTGGGTAAATACTGGCCACAGCAGAGGGTTACTAGTTACCCTTATCTAGGTTGGCTCTCCAATGCTTCCTTCCTGTCTCTCAGTCCCGGCACCCATAGCCATGCCCTGGATAGGCAAAATCTCCAACTCTAATGCAAAATACCCCACCCCAACAAATGCAGGACCCTGAAGCTGCAAAGGAGTAGTAGGTGGGGAGATGGGGAATGGAATTCCCCTAGGAGGGGTAAAACTTCCAGAACTCCACTTTGTAACCCACGCTGTGCACAATCACAACAGAATGCTCCCATCCTGGCTTGTAACTTCTTGATACCATTTTTTTTTAAATTCAGTAGCTGAGCACAAAGAGGCCTCGTTGATTAGTTTTCGAAGCAGCTGGGAAGGTGGTAGTATTTCAAATTCCAGTTCTGCTCCATTCCCACTTCCCTCTCGCTAAGAAGCTATCTAATTACTTAAGTAAACGTGAACACTAAGTGCAGAAGCAACCCGGGAAGTGGGGCACATCGACACCCGGAAGCAGTCCTGTGCACCGGAGAGGTCAGACCCCCAACTGCAGCCTCAGCCCCCCAGCTCAGCCCGAGGCTCTGTACGGCCTCGCTGGGGCCATAGAACCACATCCTGAACGAAGGAGTCTCCAGACATTTTGGAGTCGCCCCAGCCTTGGACCACAAGAGAGTGGTCACTGCCCCCACCTCTCTGTCCCCAACACAAGCCTCAGTTTTCAAATGCTGTTCTTTTTTTAATTACTTAATTCTCAAATTCCATCCCCAAACTCTTTAACTGAGGTAAAGGGGAGAGCTCTCGGTCCTCCCGCCCCCAGCCAAAAGAGTAATTAGCAATTATGATGACAAAGTTTTACTCTCTAGGGCCAAATAAGATAACAACTAATCAAACTGCCTTCACGCTTTTGCAAAGGTCACTGGCTATAAAAAATGTAATGTCAACCGCAACAACTATTATTTCTCTTCAGTAAACTCGCCAGGCTCAAGCTCTTTGCCTTTCATTTCATTTTCTGCTCCCAGCCCCTTCTAAAACCTTCCCAAGTTCGAGTTAAACGTCCAGAATGGCTTAGGGAGCTTGGGAGAGTATAAGAAAAATAAAAAGGAAGAAAGAAAGAAACCACGTTCACTTTGTTTTTAAACTTTCTAGAAATCGCTCATGAATGAAGAGCCAGGTTTTAGCACTCGAAAAAGAAAGCATTTCCACTTGAAATTCAACTCCATTTCCCCCAATTACACTTGCTAAAATTCAGGGCTATTATGGCGCAGGGAGACTGAGAAAATCTGCACAAGGAAAGAGGCAACAACTTTATGAACTTTGAAAAGACACTTTTCCTCCTGGGATCTTAGAATCGAAAGCTCTCAAATTACTCCGACTAATTAGCCGGGAGAAGAAGTGATCAGACGAGGGGGAAGGCCAATGCTTTCATACAGATTTATTTTCAAGGCCTTACCAAGAAAAACATAAGGGGATTCGGAGTAAAACAAACAAAAAAGCAAACCAACTCTGCACCTCAAAACTTGCTGAAATCCCAACACCTGGTGAGACTGGATCAGAGGAAAACAAGGAAAAATACCCACCAAGCGCAGGGGGCCGGAGAACAGGGAAGAGCCCCAGCCTCCGCAAGGCAAGGGAGATGAGAGTCGGGGGAAGCCTGGGGAGCAGAGAGTTTTCAAGTTCCGAGCTCAGCGCTCCAGTGGAGTTGGGGGCAAGAGCCCGGGGGCTGGGTGGAAGCTGACAGTCCTCCCGCTCGGCTCTGAGCTCCCTCGGAGCGCGCGTTCCACCGCCTTGGCCTGGTGGCTTCCTTCCCGGCTCGCGCTAGCTCGCTCTTCCCTCTACCTCCAGCGTGCGGCTGCCTTGCCGACTGACTCCACTCGGGCTGGTGGCGGGCGCGGTGCCCCCCTCGGCGCTCGAGTGCCGGCTGACTCTTCTGCGCCGGAGCCCAGTGCGGCACAAAGCCCGAGGGCCGGCGGGCGGGCGGAGACGCGGCGAGCAGGTTCCCTCGGCGCTCCCTCGGCGAGTCCTCGGAGCGCCCGCTCTCTGCGCGTTCGCTGGGCCTCGGGCTGGACAAAGCAGCCGGCAGCGGTTGCTCTCTGCGGCCGTTCCAGGGCCTTGGGCACCACAGAGCCTCTTCGTCTTTTCCCGCGGGTCGGGAGCATTGGGCGACGCTGGGGCTAGGAGCCGCGGCTGCTGTCGCGCCTGGAGTCTCCCTTCTTCCCGCGAGCTCAGCCCGCGCTGGCGCTGGCGCTGGCGCTGGGGCTGAGCTGGCCGCCCGCCCCGAGCCCTGCGCCGCTCCCGCTCGCCGGCAGTCGCCCTCCGACGCGGGCTTTCGCTGGAAGTAGAAAGTTTGGGCTCCTGCGTGGAAACTTCTCCGGCCCAACTCTCCCGGCGTAGCAGTGGGGGAGGGGACCGGCGAGAGGGGAGGAAGGAAGGGGGGAGGAAGGGGGAGACCTGTCTGAATATTGCAATAAAAATAAAGCGAGAAGAAAGAAGCGGACTCACCTTTATGAGGCATCCTTTCTGGTTGTCACAGCTTCTGTCAAGAGTTTTGTTTGGTTGGGGTTTTTTGTGCTGCTGTTGTTGCTTGAAGACCACAATGGTTTGAAATGACGGTGTTTTAAAGGAGTTGCTGGTGAGAGTTTTCTCCACGGATGTTGCTGGGTTGGTGTGTGAGAGCAATTCTCAGATTCCTGGGAAGGAGACAGAGATTGACAATAAAATGGGCTGTCAGCGGCTGGAGAGTGAGAGATAAAGAGTGTGGGTGAGGGAAGTGGCTGCAGCCAGCACACCTATGCTGATTGGTGATGGCTCAAGTGTGTTAATGTGTGTGTGCCGGCGCCCGGCCTCGCCTCCACCGCTCCTCACTGGCCCATTAGCGAAGCCTGACCTCTGTCATCATCCTCCAGCAAAACACTTCCTCCTGCGCCTGAACCAGAGCGGGAAATGAGGCCGAGCCACGGTTCCCTTTTCAAACCCACTAATCACTCCGCAACATGCAAATGCACCGCTCGCTCTCACACAAAATATTGCTTTATGCAAAGCAGCGCCGGGGCCTCGCGCCAGCCGATTGGATGCTCCCTCTCCCCGCCTGGTGCAATTGGTCCGTTTGTTTGAATATGAATACACTTGTTTTCGGCTCCGCCGGTGGGTCCCGGCTCCTCTCCCCGGCGCAGGGCCCCCGAGCCCGGGCTCTGGCGCTCGCCTGCATCTCCCCGCTCCGCGCACGCCGAGATTCGGCGCGGCCCGCCCTGCTGCCGCGAACTTGAGCGGTCAAGTGAAGGTTTCTGGGTTGGGGGTCGCGCCCCCACTCCCCCTAAGCTGGACTCGGGACTCCCAGTCCTCGGAGGGTGCAAGTTTCTGTGCTGTCCTTTCTTGCCAACTCCAGGACAGCGTGGCCTGCCGCCCCGCCCCCGCCCGCCCCCACCCCATCCCAGCCGGGGCCCCAAGACACAGAGCACAGCGGCGGCCGCACCCCAGCCCACCTGGCCCCTTGGAAGAAGAGGAAAGGGGCGGGAGCGTCACTGGGTCCTGGCAGCTCCATTCCAGCTGCGGAGGCCGCGGCGAAGCCTAGGCCGAGAGGAGGTTGCCGGGCCGAGAACTAAACGAGGCCAGAGGCCTCCCCAGCCCAAGCCTCCAGGGCCTGTCCAAATCCTCCACCCCGCTCTCCCCGCCCTTTCTTCTCTCCTTTCTCCTTTCGGAAGCCGCGGTGCGCAGCGGAGCAGAGGCACAGCTCTGGCTGGAGAGGCCCGAGTAAACACGCCACTTACTTTGTGTACAGAGGGTTCTTGTGAAAAGCCCTGAAGAGTCCTCACCAAACACTCACCAACTTCTCCCACGTGCCATTTGTTGACTAAGTGCGGCTGCTTTTCGCAGCGCCCGAGAGGAGGGGAAGCCAGGGGAGATAAGAGGGGAGGGGGAGTGGAAGCCTGGGTGGGGGGGCGGATGACCAATGCTGGGAGGGATTCTCTCTCTCTCTCTGTGTGTGTGTGTGTGTGTGTGTGTGTGTGTGTGTGTGTCCCACTGGCGATGTCGGTATGTCAGCGTGTGTCGTGTGTGCCACCGGTCATCTGTGTGTGGTGCGTGTGTCTCCGCACCACGACTCCCTCTCCTGGGTCTGCTCAGTCCACGGAGGCAGCTCCCCTTCAGCTGTTGCCAGAAAACCGGGGAGGAAAGTAAGTAAATGGCTTTTCTCTTCTGACCACACACCAGAAGTCCATTTGTTGAATGCCGCACGATTAGGACACACCTCAGTACACTCCAAAGGCGCCCCTCGGAGCCTGCAGTTAAGGTGACAGGAGAGCGAGCGGCTGCCTGGTCCTGCGCTGTCCCGAGCTCTCTCGGCGGCTTCGGGCCACGGAGCCGGGAAGGAGAAGGAAGGCCTGGGCTGCTGTACACACCCCAGGACAGGGCGAGGGGGAATAGGGCTGAAGAGCTGAGGCAGGGAGGCTGAAATGAAGCAGCCGAAGGGTACGCTAGACTCTTCTTGACTTAGGGAAAGTGCTGAAAGTCAGAGCTCATCAATAAAATCTGCGCGACCTGAACTCGCTGCTGACTGGCCGCGTCGCCGCAGCCCCTGGCAGCCGGGACAGTGAGGACGCTGCAAGCCGCCCTGGGCCGCCGGGCCACATGTGGGCCTCACCCTCTCGTTCCTGCCTGGGACCCAGCAGCCCTGCGACCAAGGAGCCCGGGCAGGGCTCCCGGGAAGCAAAGGCCTCCCCGGCCCTAGCCAGAGGTGGGGTCGCATAACCCTCTCCCCTCCCCGGGCTGGGGAGGGCTGCCGGCTCTAACCCTTCCCCGGGAGCTCGCAGCGCCGGGAGGAAACCTGGGTCAGAGGTGAAGGAGGTGGCGCCGGGTGTCCAGGTCCGCGGCCTCCTGGGCGAGGTTTCATTTCGCAGGAGCGCGACTTTCGGAGGATGCCGGCAAGTGGGGCCGCGGCCCTGAGTCCCAGACCAGCGAAAGTCGGCTTTCTCTTTCTCTCTCCTTTTACTTTCCAAGCGAGCATTAAAGAAGCTTGGACTCAAGACTCAAGTCCGCTGTGCATGAGCGAGGGACTTGCGGGGGGGCGGGGGGGGGGGAAGTGATTCTGTCCGAACTGGAGGCGAGTATCATTTTTACAACCTCTCAATTAGCGACCGAGTGGATTAGCACCTTCTTAAGCTTTGCCTCGGAAAGAAGCAGCCGTAATCTTGTTGCTATTTCCCCCCAGGGCACTGGCTCTTTGAATCAGCTCCTTCTCCCACCCCTCCAACCCCCATCTCGCTGCGGAGAAAAGTTTTAACAAAAAATCAGAAAAGGCAAGGAGCGAGGAGTGAATGCCACTGACGTCATTGGGTGGGGAAGGGGGCTCCGGGAAAGACTCCTGGAAACTCCTCCGCACAAACAAAAAACAAAAAGGACTTGGCTGCTTCCCATGTGTCAATATTTGGGGAGGGGAGTTCAACCCCAGAATGAGGCCGAGTTTTCAAAGTTTAAGGAGAGAGGGGTGAGAGTGAGATTTCCTCGTTCTCTCTGGACTGGTCTCAAGGAAGGTGGGGGTGCTGTTCTACCTCGTGGGGAGCCTCACTCCCTCTGCCAAGTACCGGCTCTGGGGGCGAAGCGGCCTAGGGGTGTGGGGGCCGAGACTGAGGTGCGGGCGCGGTTGCCAGAGGTGTGTACAAAACCGAGACAACTCGCAGGTCGCCATTTTAATTGCGGCTACCAACACGCCCGAGGCCCACTTGCTGCCCTCCAAGACGCGGGGGGGCGGCGGGGATTGCGCTTTAGGTTCTGTCTCCTTTCCCCGCCTCCCCACAGGCCCCTGTTCCCCCCTACCCTCCGCCCCCTGTGGCCAGAGGGAGGACCTCTCAGGCCGGCGGGTGCGTTCCCGCGGGGGCCGCCGGGGTCGTCCCACCCGGTAGCGGGGCTGTCTGCGTGGAGGGAGTCCCGCTGGGGGACCGTGGCTCGCCAGAGCCTGCCCAGAGCTTCTAGCCAGTATTGATGCGTCAACATGAGGTGAGGCAAGCATCTCACCCGCACCGATCCCTGGCATTCCCCTGTGCCCACCCCATCAGGCCTTCGGGGAGGCAAAGAAGTGCCCACTTCTGGGGGGAAGTGCCTCCAGCTCCCAGCTTCAGAACCAAGAGCCTCCCATCCGGAGTTCTGACAGTTCTGACACCTCCAAACTCTCTCTTTCCCCGGTCAAGCAGAGGCGCAGCGCCGGCGCGCTGGAAAGGGTGAAGACTGGCATTTTTTGGAGAAGGAAAGTCTTGGCAGACACCTGCGTCACTTTGTAGTGCCCCAAACGTCTCTCTTTTTGCAGACCCTGGGAAGGTGGGATCCCTTGTCCGCGGAGCTGGCAAACGGGTCCAGTGAGCCCTAAAGGCAAAGGCTCCCATCCCGGCCGCCCAGTCCCTGGTGCCTCCCCCACTTCCAGGCCTTTGTCCCTCTCCTTTCTCCAGCAACCTGCCGGTTCCCGCTAACCCGGCAGCCTCGCCGAGCCCAGAGCCTAGAAAAGCCAAGAAGATCCCAGAGCCGCCCCGTGGCACCTTCAGGCTGTGGCCACTGCTCGGCTTGGGGGGAAGCCGCGGTGCCCTCGCCCTTCCTCGCCTCCTGCCAAATGGCCAGTGCTAGGGGCTCCCTGGGTTCAGTCCTCAGTCCTCTTCCGTTCGCTCTGGGAGGCCAGCCTGTCTCTCTCTCTCTCTCTCTCTCTCTCTCTCTCTCTCTCTTTCTCTCTCTGTCTTCTCCCTGCCCACCCCCAAAATACCTTTAAAATAACATTGTCCAGTGGAGTCTCCCAGCAAAGGGATTCCTAGCAGCCCAGCGGGTCAGACTCCCAAGGCTTTGCCTCCCAGTCCCTCCATGCTGTTGTCCAGATAGGAGTTAGGTTTAAAACTCCTGACATGTAGGACAACTGAAATCAGCGGCACTCTCCGATTTTTGCAAATAGGGTTCCTAGAAAAGTTTGCTTTCCATTTCATCACCCTGTGACGATCCCCCCATCTCTCTTTTCCCTGTAACCTCTGCCCCCAAGAGGCAAGAGTTCAGCTTCAAAGGAAAAGCAAGCAAGTCAAGGCCACCTCAGTCCCTTCTCCCTGGATATCCCCTCTCTAAACCGCTGCCTATTCTAAAGGCCAACGACCCGGTCCTGCGATTTGTCCCGTTGTAGACCTGGGAACAGGCAGGCGGGAACTGGGGGCTTTACTGGGGGATTTGAGGCTGGGGAGGGGGAGGGAGCAAATGTCATGGCTGGCTCGCTCAAGCATCCAGGGAACCGAAGCTAAGCGCATCCTGACGGGCTTTTAAAATGACATTGATTAGGACAAGCTGTTCCCAACCCCAGTAAGAGTTAATCTGCCTGTTAATCAAGGCACTAAGGGGCTCAATGCGAGTTTTATTAGCGACAGGAGAACAGAGGCGGCAGCCAGGGATCAAAAGCCGGGATCCCATATATTTGTCAGCGCTATCTCCAAAAAAAAAAAAAAAAGTATTTTCAATTTGAAAACAATTCGGCGCTTTTCGTCACTTCCTAACCCAGTCTCACAGAGGGTGACTTCCAAACCTGGCTAGCGGGGAAAACCGCTGCCCGGGGGACAGAGGGGCTGACAGGAACTGCGGGTTGGCTCAGCCGAATGCGGCCGGGGAGAATTTAAGAATTCTCAGCCCGCGCGGCCCGATGCCTCTGATTCCTCACGAGAGGAAAGGGAATGAAAAATGAAGCAACAAATGACACCACCCAGGCTGGCAGCCCTCGTTCCCGGCCAGACCCCGCTCCTCAGGCCCGGCTCTGGCGCCGGGTGGCGTCCAGCCCCTGCACGCGCGGCGCGGCCCGCGGGAAAGTTTGTGCAGCGAGAGTGACTGTCCTTCCGCCTCGCGCGCGCTGCCCCCTTCTGCCCCGGAGGGGCGTTGGGTTCCCTTCGGTTTTCCTTTCCAATTCTAAAATAAATAAATAAACTCCGGGCCCTGGGGAAATCTGAATAGTAATTCCAGTCATCCAAATTCTATGAGAGGGTCTGAGGAAAAAAAGACAAGCCTATCACGGGCGCCCTCCGATCACGAAGGGCACGGGCATGAGAAGGCGACAGAGGAGGTCCTCGGCTCGCCCTGGGCGCGGAGCGAGGACTCTGGTCAGAGGTAATTATGTCACCGCGTTTTCTCGCCGTGACAGCCGAATAAACACGATCTCCAATAAACATCTCTAATGAGGGAGGAGGCCCGAGGATGGCTGGGTTTGATTTATGACTGGAGGAGAAGGTCCACTTCCCACTGCGAAGCAGGCGACCTGCTCGCCGCCCAGCTCCAGGGAGAGGAACCCGCGGAGGAGAGGATCCCGGCCCAGGTAAGGCGTGCGGCCGGACTGCCACTGCGCTCGTCCCCCGTTTCCAGGTGAGGTGAGCAGGGGGCGCCACCGCTCGGAGTCGGGCGGAGGTCCCAACACCTGTCACAGGTGACTGAGCTCCGAAGGTGCTCCCAGAAGACCTAGAAAGGGGGCGCAGGAGCGCGAGTGGGAGTGGGGGTTGGGGGCTAGCCGGGGCCTGGCCCAGAGGCCGCCCCAAACTCCCGGGCGGGGTTCTTGGGTGCCCCGCCTAAGCCGGCCTGGGCGTCTCCAGCTGCTTTTAGGGCCGGGCTCCCAGGACTTTCGCCCGGCTGAACCACAAGTTAGTCTAAGTTTGGGTCGTCCCTTCCCTGACTCACTAAGGGGACACTTCCGGGCCCCGGCTCTGGCCCTCCAAGGGCCGCAGGGTGGTGGGCGCTTCTCTTTCCCGGGCTTGGCGGCCCGGCTCCCATGGCGCCCGCGCGCTTCCCGCCGAGGCAGCCAGCGCAGCGCCCGCAGTAACCGGAGCCCGCGTTCTAGCTCAGTGAGAATCGCTAATTATTAGGTCTTCCGAAGTGAAGCTCAAATCACACGCTGGGAGCTTTACGCGCTGCCCAGCTCTGTCGGCCGCATTCTTTCGTACTCCGCGTCTTTCTGAGAAACGAACCCCATCTCTAGACTTTGTTGCGGTCCAGCCATCTGCACTTTGCAACCGCGGGAAACTTCTGCTGCACCTCGCCCGACCCGCGGCAGGGTGTCTTTAAGCGCTCCAGGCGCGGGTACGGACTTTCCCAAGCGTGGATGTCGTGAACTGCGATGCAGAGGAGGTCTGGATGCAAAGTGCGTCCCCACCTCCTGCATTTTTCGCGGTCGCGAGTGGCTTTAGCAGACAGCAGCAGCAGACTCCCGCCCCCTACTCCCAGCTCAGGGCCGGACTGGAAGTCCACTCTTAGGAGTGGAACATTTTGCTACTTTTGCAGAAGAGCACACTCGGCAAAGACAAGTCCCTCCTCCACCCCCCTTCCTATCCCTCCCTCAGTAACTCGCTTCCATCTTTGTATGCCTCCTTTTAAAAGCAAAAATCAAGCCCCGGGGCCACTTGGGGCGGGCTTTGATTTGGGGACAGCAGTCGCTGGCAGCGGAGAGGCCCCGCGGGCCCCGAGCCGGGCCGGGGCCGGAGCCCGGGCGGTTACCTGGGAGCGGAGGGCGGGGAGGCAGGTGAGCCTGGCAGCGCCGGTTCCCACACTTCTCACCGCCGCTCGGCAGGGGAAGTGGCAGATCTGACAGCCGCGTTCTACGCGAGGACCTGCCCCAGAGTTTAAATGTCAATGATAAGAAAAGAGGGTGCTCAGGCAGGCGCTAACTTTCCTTAATATCCACGCCAGCGCCGTCCTCATTGGCTGCCCGGCCCGCGTGACGTCATGGCGGCTAGAGTTGGGCACAGCTCTGCGCCGACTAGTTTTCCGGCCGGGCGGGAGCCTGCTTCTCCCCACCCAGGGTCCGGCCGGCTCCAACCCCTGCTTTGGCCTTCCTTGGCCCGGCCTGTGACTGCTCTAGCCCGGCCCGGTCCAGCCTGGGCCGCCGTCCTGTATGGCGTAGAGTCGATCCCCAGGAAACTAGTCTTGCCGAGTGCGCTCCTCCGCACCTTCGGGCACTAGGGCCCCAAGATCTCTGCCCTTAGGCTGGCCAGCTACCTCTCTGGGTAATCACCCTGTCCCCTCCTCCGATCCCCAAGGGAGTCCCTTCATCGGAGAGACCCGAAGGCCGCGCCGGGATGGAGAGGCGCTTTTGGCAGGAATCATTTTTAGGAGGAGTTCGAGGCTCGATGAGTACCCTCAACCTGGCCCTCGAGCCCGCAAGTCACTAGCTGGGCACAGACGGGGGCTCCGGGAAGAGGACATGCGACCCCTTTTTCAGGGCCTAGGCCAAAGGTCTCTCCAGGCCTGCTGGGTTCTCAAGAGGGAAGCCCTAAAGGGGGCCTACCCGGGCTTCCCTCGCCCTCTGGCTGAAAGGCTCCAACCACATTAGAAAATGTAGGTGATTGTATTTATCTTTGACTTTGAATTAACTGTTGACTTTGTGACTTAGAGGAGGAAAACAGGAAAATCCCAGATTCTGAAGTCAATACTCATAGAAATTGGGGCGGGGTCTGCAGGACACTGACTTGCTGGTCTGTGCCTGTTTTTCCCTCACACCTTCTGTGGACTGCGAGATGGCTTAGCGGAGCTAGGCCTGGCTATCTTGGAATGGAGATTTAGACCCTCGTTGTCATTCCCGTCCCTCATCCCTCAAAACAGGAAGCTTCTCAACTCCTTCCCCTATGCTTCCATCTGGCTCTCCAATTTGAAAGTGACAGTGGTGGGGCCCGGAGGGGCAGGGGTCACTTGAGGAGTTTGCGGGAGAGGAAGGGGCGGGGCGTGGAATTTCCTTTAGGCAGCTCGTGGAGACCCAGCCTGGGTGGACCCGGGAGTGTGTGTGTAGAAGCAGGGAGGGGGACGCCTGGGCCGGAGGAGGGTCCTAGGGCCAGTCCCTGCGCGCCTTGATCCGGGCGGCGGCTAAGGGAGAGCCGAGCACAGATGGCGCCGAGGCGGAGGTCTAGTGATTCCCGCTCCCGCCCCTGGCACACCTGGACAGGTGCCGGGCCTCGCAACCGGCCAGGAGGCAGCTCCAGGCAGCCCGTCTGCCCACTCCTCTTAGCCCGGACAGCTCCTAGCTGGACTTGATTTTTTGTCTTGCTCAGCCCGTCGAGGACTGGAGGGCAGAGTAGGGGTGGGAGTGGGGGTAGGGGTAGAGGTGGGGGTGGCGGTGAAGGTGGGGAGGAGAATGGGAGCTTTGGCTGAGAAGTTTCCGCAGGATGTTCTTACTTATTTACAAACATTCTCCAAACTTTCTTTCTTCTTCCTAACGCCCTGGGCATCCTGTGTTAAGGCCTAGGAGCGCCCACCTCCCACTGGCCACTCTAGTCTGGGCCTAGACCTTACCATGGTCCTGTCGCCCTGCTCGGCTGGGAAGGGATGCTAAGAGAGGCATTTGTTCTGGTTTCCCTGTCGCCGTCGGCCATCTCCAGTGACCTAGTTTCTTGGTAAGCCCCTAGCTCCCCTCCAGGACCTGGCCCAGCCTCCAGCCTCAGATGTCCTGAGGTCTCCCAGACTCCGCCGTCCGCCTTGGCGTGTGGGCTGCGGATAGGCCTCGGACCTGTGTAGGCCTTCCTAGCTGGCCAGTTTCTGTCCGGGTCTCGCTCCCCACACTGTACCAACCCTAGGCCGCCGAGAGGGCTGTTATGGGCTTGTTTGGAGTCCAGGCCATTAAGTGTGCGCAAATCCCTGCAACCCAGCAGGGTGCTCGAGAGCGACTCTGGAAACGCCACGGCCCCCGCCTGCTTATCTGCCTGTCAATAAAGGGCGCGTTCGGGCTGCGCGGGAGCGCCGGTGGTGCAGGCGAGGCCCGAACTAGGCCCTTCCGAGCTCCGGGCCAACGCACGAGCCGCTCTCCATTTGTCCCGGGCAAGGAGGCTGGGAGGGAGGGAGCCGGCTCTGGGGTCGCCGAGGGAGAAGGTGCGGGTTTAGCCGCTGCCTCAGCTGGATTCTTGGAGAAGCGCTCGACCTCGGAGCACTCTGGAGACCCTACCAGAAATCTAGTGCTGGGGGCTCCTCTCCGCGCCTGCCACCAGCCTTGGAGGAAGCTGGGCAGGGCCCCGTGTGGTGCCCAGCCTACGAGGTCCCACCTCGCCTCTCCCTGGCAGAGGCATCCTCTCTAGGCCACACTGGCTCGCATTGCGGGAAGAAGGGCACCGCGGGCGGCCCGGGGGCATCATCGACGACTCGTAGAGCCCCAAATGCCGAGTGCTACCTGAGGCAGGCTGTAGCTGGGGTGAAAAGGACCGGAAGCGGGAAAGAAACCTCTTTTCTTTCAGGCCTCCCTTCAGCCCGGGGTAGCACAGACTGCAAATTTCCGACACCTAGGGCAGCTCCAGGCTCTGATTCTCCACCGCACAGTGAGCGAGCTCGGCAGCCGCCCAGTCTGCGTAGGCTCCCAGGCCAGCCCCGGCCCCAGAGCTTCCCCATCAGCCAGCAGAGGCTGGGTGGAGAGCCTGGATGGGCGTGAGAGGCCTTGAAGTAGGGGAAGTAGTGGAGAGAGAGAAAGATAGAGAAATCGGCTCTTGGCTTGAACTGTTGTTCTTGTCGAAGGTATGTTTTCCCCTCCCGGCCTCTGTCGCTTTTCCTCTCTCCCCTTAACTACTTTATGCAAATAAAGCCGCTTCCAGACTGGAGGAGCCCCTACCGCTGGATCTGTGCTACCAGGTGGGTGGGAATTGATTTAGTATTTGCCTTTTTATTGAGAATAGGCACTGAGTCTCCCACCAATTATAAAATAAAAATGGATTTTCCTCTTAAAATTTAATTTTACTCAATCTGGAAGATAATGCATCCTGTTAATTTCTACAATATTTTTAAAAAAGGATTCCAGGGTGAGCGCTAACTTATAAAATGGTTTAATAAAGCTTTTCCATATACAAATTAATAGGAGAGGAAAAAGCCCCTAAATAATTGATTTAAAATACTGTGTATTATTTGAGTGTCATTTCAAATAGCTGTACAAGCCAGTAATCAATATATCATCTAAGGAATCTAATTTACTGGGCAGTACGTGTGGCTCTTGCTCTTCCTTCCCTCTCCACTTCCTCCCCTTTAAACAGAAAACTTGTTTTAACAAGATTTTTATTTTAAATCAAAATTGAAGGAAAGTTTTGTGAATTCGAGCGTCAAAAAGGGGACTATTTAGCAAAGATAATATTTGCCATCTCTTCACCCCGGTCTCAAGGATTGCATAATGGCATGATTATGTGCAATTCTGTGTTTTCTCTGCTATTAATTTATTTTCCTGCTCTCATTTAAATAACTACTTTACTTTTTTCTCTCTTCTATTTTGCCACACCATAAAAAGTTTTCCCGGACCTCTGTGGAAAATCTCCAATCCTTCCAGTTAGCTTTGTCACAAACAAACAAACAAACAAAAAACAAACAAACAAACAAAACAAAACAAAAAACTCTACAACAATCAATTTGAGAAAACTCTGCTTTTTCTTTCCTTTTAAACATTTTCATATTAAGTCAGTTTGTGGCACCATGTTTGATTTCTTTCTCTCCCTTGTCCGGGTAGAGATGGAGACATTAGCTGAATTCCCTGGGGGTGATTGGATGCAATTCACTGAAAGTAGACAGGCACGTCCTGGATGTTAGAAATTCACTTTTTCTCAACGTGACAAGGCCGGCTTCGATCTACAATTGTATTTGAATGGGCAATGAGCGGAAAGATCTCTCATCATTAAGCTTGCTTCTACTTTAGCAAAATAAGGAGAGCCTTCATTTGCACACAAATGCTCATAAAACTCGGATTCCCTGCAACCCTTTAATAAAAAAGGATTGCTGCATAATTTAAATTGGAGGCCAGGGGAAGGCTGAGAGAGGGAGATGAGGGGGTTTCAACTGAGTCCCCTCCCTTCCCCCAAAAGGTCCATGTGATCGAGTTGACTTTTTTACTTTAAATCTTAAATAAGATGTGAGTTGTAACAAGAGGATTGGCACTTACTCCGTGACCCTTATAATTGGATTAAATATAGACTGAGACGTACAAAAACACACCAAGATTGACACCTGCCAACTGGACTTCCTTATGATTGATTGTGATGCTTCGTGCTGGCAACAATAATGAAATAAATTGTACGGATAAAACAGCACATTTGTCATTTCCGTGCCATGAGTGAGGAAGTCAACGAGTTAGGCAAGCTGTTAGCTGACAGGCGCGAGCGGGAGGCAAGCTAAAGAGATAAATAAGGATTCCAGGCATTGACAGGACAAATTATAACTTGTCACAACCTTTTTAAATTCAGAAGTTTTCAATTAACATATATATTGCTGTTACATATAAGATAAGGGGGCACTGACGTAAACACGCGTGGGGTGCAGGGACCCCCCCCCCCAGTGCCAAGGGTTTGGGCATCCGGGCTTGGGCATCCAGGCCTCTCTGGCTCTGTTCTCCCATTCTGGCAAGCCGGAGGGCACCCAGGTTTGCATGGCCAGCCTGTAGGCCCGGGGCTCCGTAAGGTGGGTGAGAGTGTGATAGGCTAAGTGCAGCTGCTTCTTTTGCTAGGAGCCCCAGTTCACAGGTCCAGCACCCTTTCTTCATGGAAGCAAAGCTCCCAGATCAAGGGAGAGGCTGGGCGAGGCCTGGGCCCAGGTCTGGAAGGACAAGTCCTGCTCTGTCTCCTGGAGTCCTATGTAAGGAGTAAGAGATAGAGGGCAGAGGCTCCCCCTTTTGCGCTCCAATGTCTTGCCCTCATAGGAAAATCTGAGCTGCTGGACACAACATATCAACAATGGCCACATCCTGTGGGCAGGCCTAGGCCACTGAAACCTGGTGTGGCCTGAGGCTGCTCCTGAGCTCTCAACTCCTTCTCTGACTCACCGGCCCAGTGCCGCCAAGGAACCGGTCCTGTGTCCTACCTAGGAAGAGCTGCTTTTCCCTCCTCAGACTTTGTTTCTGGTACAGTTCCCAGGGCTCTTCCTTGACCCATGGGTAGGAACGAGTTTGCCAGTGGGTCCTTGATAACCTGAGGCCATTCACCTAGAGCAAGTGAGATTTTCAGAGGAGCAAAGCGCTGGAGTCACCCTGTGAGGCTGCAAGTTAGGGGAAGCCATGAGATTTCTGGGGAAGTCTAGGTGTTGTGACTGTGACTGGGGACTGCTGTGGGTGAGGTTTGAAGAGTGTGGAGGGACTGTAAACTCTGCAACCATCTTCACCCCAAAGGAGGCTGGCTTTTTGGTTTTAAAGCTAACCCCTATCCTAAAGCAGAATCTAGACTTGCAGGGCCTCTCTGAACTCAGGTCCCAGCCTCCCCGCAAAGTCCAGCTGGAAAGGAAAGTTTGGGCGGGAAGCGAGCGTCCCCGGGTCTGAGGCTGCTGGGTGGAAAGCTGGCCTAGGAGGGCGAGTAGGGAGCAAAATAGGGCCTGGTCCTTGCGGGGCCGGGGAGCTAGAGGCCGCAGGAAGCTGGGAGGGCCCTTTCCAGGCAGGCAGGGCAGCCTCCTGGCGCGGCCCAAGGCGCGAGGCAGCCGCTGGCTAGGGAGGTCCAGTCTCCTGCAGGCCAGGGAGGGCTTCCTCTGGGTGCAGCCGTCTCCCTCCGCTCCTCAGCTTGGCTACTTGGTGCTCGGACCCCGCATCCTAGTCCTCGTCCTTGTGGGACAGAGGCCAACCTTGCTGTCGAGGCCCCAATATGTCACCACAAACACTCCCAGAACAAGAGCATCAACCCCAAGCTCCAGAACTTCTGGTCTTAGCCTACTGGAGCCTGCCACCAAATTAAACACCGCGAAGGCTTTGAATCCCTGCAAAGACGGAGCCTGGAAGAAAGGGAGGGAGGAAAAGGGAGGAAAAAAAACAAGTTACATGGAATTAGTTGGAAGCGGGCGCATTCCCCAGCGACCGCAGCCATTAACATTATAATCTCAAACGCCATTTTTTATGTAACACTATTGTTAGTAAATCAACTCCTCAGGTCCTCAGAGACGCTGACCCCTGGCAATTCAGTGAAAGTGTAATTATCTCCCCGAATCTTGGACAGATTTAAGAGATTACATTTCAACTAAATCTATATCAATGCTAATTCCCTCTCTCCCCCCAGCCTGCAGGTGCTAGGCACGGGAAATGGCGTCAGGCCCCAGCAGAACGCTTCACAAAGAGGAGAGGGCTAGCTGTGTACAGGGCCAAAAGAAATGAAGCCCCACATAAAATTACACCTTTTTTTTTTTGCTACAAAACCTGGTTCTTATATAGCAAAGTTAAACAAAGCAGCTATGCTAAATTAGCGTTACATAAAGGCGAGTTTAATGCTCGGTTACAGTCAACTGGTGTATCTCTGATGGCTAATTGTCTATCAAAATTAAAGAGAAAAGAACAAATGATTCGTTATAAGAAGGTGTTAAAAGCCTCAACAAAAGGACATTTCACAAATATAATATCGGCAGCTCCCGGATTGCCTGCGGGGTTGTTCAGGCCCCGGGCCTGCACAGCTATGAGAAGTGGGGTGCAGGGTGCTATTTGCCCAGCAAAAGCTCATTTCCTCCCAAATGAGTATAATGAAAACCCGAGAGGCGATATTAGTGTAAAGATCGGGATTAGTCCAAATAGGAGCCGCGGACTTGGGCTTCAAAGGCGACCCCTACTCTTTTTGCCCAGTCTGGGGGCGGAGGGCGCTCGAAGGGATACTTCAAGGACACCACATCCAACTTGTCGCAGCCCCACGTTCAGGCACAGGAGGGAGCGAACATTGGGCAGAGGGTAATTTCAACAAAGGACGGCAGGCTCCGGGGATCCCGGCTTTTCCCTGAGTTCTCTGGGTTGGAAGGAGAGGGTCCGGGCTCTGTCGGAGGAGTGGGTACAGCCCAGCACATGCTTTTCTGACGCGCAGCGCTGGCCTGGGGAGTGGGTGCAGCTGCTGCAGCCAGCCCCCACCCCGCCCCAGGCTGGGAAGGACGCAGAGTATAATACGACGGCCCCCTTCCCCAAGGGGACACTAGATCCAGAGCTCCAGGCATATTTGTTGTTCAAAGTTAATTATACCTGAAAGCAACCAAAATGCGCACGCCAGGCCCACGGAGGCCGATTGCCGACCAGCGTAGCCGGCCCGCAGCGCCAGAGAAGCCGCTCACTCCGGCGGAGTCTCTGCAAGAGAATCTGAGGCTGGGGAATAAAAGCCGAAACTAAATCAGGCAGCAAGAGTAACAAACCATCTGGAAAATGGACCCACGGAGCCGCAAGAATGTACTTTTTTTTTTTATCCTTGACAACTTGTGTCCTAAAGAAAGTGTATTGAAGATAATTGAAATGATTACAATTCATTGCTGCCTGACTTTGAATATGAACAGTCACATAATGACATCCCCGCCACACAACAACAGTTTAATTTCCATTATCCGACTTCGGGATCCTAGCGCCAGCCGCCGGGGCAACGTGGCGCTAATGCAGAAATCTTGGCTCCTGCCTGCATTATTCATTTCGGGGACGTGGGGATGGGATAGGAGTGGAGAGTGGGTTTCTTCCCCTCCCCCGAACTTATTCTGAAAATCCCGGGGACCAATGGACACCGAGGAACCGAAAGCCGAGAGAATAGCTGTCAAGGGGCCACTTTGACCGACGGGGCTGCGGTCGACGGCGCTCCCCGGCTGTCTTTTTGTCCCAGGGGTTCCCAGGCCCGCAGGGCTAGGATCCCCCAGCTCCCACCCTAGTCAGTCCCAGTCAGGGAGGACCTAGGCCAGGGCCTCCTCCCAAGGCTGTCATCTGGCGGGGCAAACGCTCTTCTCTCATTCCTTCGTCTCCCTTCCAGCCCTCGCATCCTTTCCTTCTTTCTGCTTCAGAGCTCTCAGGCTCGCGTGCAGGGCGGGATGGGCCCGGATCGGGGGCCCCTTCGCAGATTTGAAAGTTGCCTCGGCCTTGATCTTCTCCCAGCCTCCCTGCTGGGGACTCACCCCCACATCCCGCTACCCCCCGGGGAAAAGCGAAGAAAGCCAGAGTCTCTTTGCACGGCGGGGACGCTGGCGCTCACCTCTGGGCGCGGCCTCGGTGGAGCCTCAGGGCCAGGGCGGGGTGTGGCGGGGTGTGGCCCGGTGGGGTGAGGGAGGGACCCGGGGTGCAAGCCAGGCCAAGGCCTCCTCAGTGCGCAGGCGCCGTTCGGGCCCGCCGCCCCCTCCCAAGGCGTGGGGTCCCGGGGACAGACCCCGAGCCCCTCTCTGCGCAACTACCGCCTCTAAAAAAAAGACCATCTGGTAATTGTCTTTCTTTAGATCTTCCCTTAATTATGCTTTTAATTAAAGATGGTTCAAGGCACCGGACCACATGAAGGGCAGTAATTACAAATTACATTACAAACCCGACAGACGTAGCAGGATCTGCTGGGAAAAAGGTACCGGAATAAAAATTTGACTAAAGTTTGGGATAAATTAATCGGTGGCTTGAAGAACAGTAGCACATTTCTGATTATGTAGGCTCCAGCCAGGATTTAAGTTTTGTGTCATGATTGTTTTCATATTTCTTTGACATCTATTGATTTGGAGGCAGCTGCAAGCCTTTGTCACAGGAGAGAAGAGCAGTCACAATATATTAGCTTGATGGCATAACTCGAACCGGAGAAGCGAGGGGAGCCTGAGTGACTGGGGCGCACATGACCCCCCTCCTGGGGCCTTTGGGCTCAACCCTTACTTTTAACTTGTTCTAACAGGAATAATGGAGTAGTACTACTAATGCATGGTCAGAAGGGGCTTTTCTGTCTAGAACGCAGGCGGCGGGAGTTGCACCGCCACAGCCCGGGAGACCAAAGAGTCTCCACTCCCCGCTCCCGGCGCCTCCTCGCCGACCGGAGCCCCGAGCCCAGTGAGCCCAGCCGGTCCCACGTCGAGAGGCGCTGGGTTGGGAGAAGTTCTGCTGGTCGTGGGCTCGGCCCCCAGGCGCCAGGCCGAGTGCCCACCTCGGCTTCTTTAGGGGGCCTACAGCGGGCAGCCGAGCGGCTGGCGGACCCGGAGCTTGGGAGGCGACCGCCAGGCTGGTGCCCGGCCTGACCCGGCGTTCGCGGCCGCCCGCTCGCCCGCCGCGGGCCGGGAGCGTACAGGAGTGTGACGCAGATTGTGAAAACAGAAGGGAGGGAGTTGGGTCATTTCCTTCGCTAATCATCGCCCCCTCCTGCTCCTCCTCCCCACCCCCATCCCATCCTCGCCGCCACCCAGCCTCGAACTCTCTTCCTTGCCAGAGTCTGCCTCACTTTGAGCCAGTGGCTGCACTTTATGGAGAAAATATATGTGCCCATCACTCACCCATCTATTTGCAGCGTCCATGGAGCGCCTCGGGGAACACGCATGGACAATTAAACACACCCACTTACGGCGGGATGATGAGGCTTTCTGTTAACCACATGTGTTCAGAAATGGATACAGCCCTAATTTTGACACGGAATGCAGCTAATGCACCTTGCTATAGATGTACGTCCGTTGGAAAAGTGTGTGATGGGCACCTGATCTACACCAAGAGAACAGGGCTGTCTGCAGAAGACCCAGCGGCCTGACACCTTTTCTTGTTGCCGGGGAAGGAAAGTTTTTCTTTTGATTTGTCCTCTCACGATTTTTCCCTTTTCCTTTGCATTACAGTTTCAGAGAGGAATGTAAATATTTTGACTAGACCTCTGCAGGGGCCTTTTAAACACCAGGCACAATCATCTGTGGAATACTGTAGTTCATACTTTCAAAACTTGGGTGTTAAAGAGTCTGTCTTGCTGAGGAAACCCATAGAACTAGTGGCGACCTTTCAACTCCCTATTTGTGTGATGAAATGAAGTATGCCCTAGTGATTGTCGAATTTTAAGGACTTGTTCTGTCACTGCTACTTTCCGATCGTTTGCAGGGAAGAAAAATCAATCAAACAGACCTTTGATGGGGTTGTGGCAAGGTCACATTTCACTGTGCTCCAGGCTTACCTCTTCTTAACGCCCCTCCCTGCTGTGGAGCGTGTGCAGGTAGTATGCAAAACTCTAGAAATAATATTTGAAAAAATTAACACCTTGTTTATCTCTTCTGTGTATTTGATATAGGGGTTTCTTTCTTTTCCTGTTTTGGTGTTTAATACAAGGCTGATATATTGGAACAGAATGCAGACTTCAAAGAAACTAAAATTAGGAGGCAAATAGCGTCAAGGTTTCCTCGGTTTCTGTATGTAGTACAAATAGTATAGCGTCTTTTCATCCAAAAAGAAGCAAAAATTGCCAGGAGGCATAAAGCATCTCTGAATATCCGTTTTTTTTAAAGAAACAAACATTTCCCAAATATTGATGTACGCATGGTTTTATAGTCTGAAAATATTTCTAGGCACAAATATGGCATACAAACATTCGTTTCAACTCTGTCGTTGTTGTTAAAATGACAGTAAATTATAGTTTATTTTAAGATACCTCCCTGTTAATGTCAGTTGAGGTTATTTTAGGGCCTGGATGCTCTAGGAAGACCACCTAAAATGTGTTTATTTCTCTGCCCAATTCACCTATAGTGTAAGGAGCATTTTATTTTATTTTATTTTATTTTATTTTATTTTATTATACTTTAAGTTTTAGGGTACATGTGCACAATGTGCAGGTTTGTTACATGTGTATACTTGTGCCATGTTGGTGTGATGCACCCATTAACTCGTCATTTAGCATTAGGTATATCTCCTAATGCTATCCCTCCCCTCCCCCCATCCCACAACAGTCCCCAGAGTGTCATGTAAGGAGCATTTTAAATAAAATATTTTGGGCATCCTTAAGTCCTTTTTTAAAAATCCAACATTCTACAATTGTGACAAATAGGCTGAAAAATTTTGTTTTGTTTATACCAAATTCATTTTAATAAAGCATTTGCTGAGATTTTAATACAACAAATGCCAACAAAATGCATCAGAGTAGAAAAAAGAAAATATTTTCAGAATTGCCTATAATATTGCTTGTGATCCTAAATTTTTTGATGCAAGGAACTTGAATTTTTCAGCTAATATTATTCTGTTTTCTTATTCTGTGTTTCTATTAGAACACTCACCTATGCTCTGCTTCCCTTGCTGTCTTCCCATAGCTTATGTGTGCACTATGAATTTCAATAAATATAAATTACTGCTTAAAAGAGTAAAGAATGGCTACTTTATGACTCACTGTTCTCTCCTTACAATCTGCTCAAAAATCTTTTTTACAAATCCCATTGTAGCTACTTCCCCTCAATTCCACGATGAAAGTGAATGGCAAATGCCATTCAATTTAGAGGAACTCAAGCACAGAGAATATAAAGATGTTGTTCAAAGCCTCCCTCAAATCTATCTGTAGGCTTACAAACAAAATGAGACTGGAGGCAACATCAGTACACATCTCCGACTCCATATGAGGTTACTTGAAGCTTTGGGGTTCACTCTGGAAACAGAAGACATGCATCAAGGTATGTGTTCCTTAGAGACTGACAAGCAACAGTGGACCTCAGGAGAAATAAAACAACTCATGCTCTCAACTGCCTCTGATTTGCAGACAAGGAAGAGTTTTCTCTAATTTTTTTTTTTTTTTTTTTTTTTTGCCTGCATTACTTTTTCTGTGCTTGGTGGCTAAACCAGAGAGCAGTCTGCAACATTTTGCTTTTGGGGATTTCCTGTGGCTTTGCCACATTCCCTGGAGAAACTCATAAAGTCCTGGAGTCTATGGAGGGATTACAGAGAGCCACAAACATCATTCTTCCTCTAATCCATCTGGGGCAGATACAGTATTGATAACAACCTTTCTGTTACTTGACAGTTTCAGACCATTCAGATGAGAACAAATAATAGGAATTTGGTAGTGGAGGTGGGGAAAATAGAGGCAATTGGTATAGTCTTCTGAGTTGAAAGGACTGGTTTCCATTCCAAAATCGTGGAAACAAGTACAAAATTAAACACTTTCCATTCAATTCTTTGGAAGTGATTTCTTCTGTCTTTGGTTATTGTAGTGCATTTGTGTTGGGGAATTGATGCATTTATTTACTTTGTCCCTAAGACAAGACAGTGCTCAGTTGCTTGCATTTTGTAGCTTCAGTTTGTTTGGCTCTCCCAGCTTGAACCTACTATGTTAGGTAATAAGGAAGCCCATTTGCATTAGATAATAAGAATCAGGGACAAGGCAGACACAATGCTGATTAAACAAGGGCTCATATCCCATTTTGAGAGCTCCCTGATAACCAGCGCCACAATCACATTGGTAGGTCAAGCAAAAATCTGAAGATAAAATCAATGTCAGTTTTCTGTCTTGGTGACAGACAGCGACCCACCAGAATTATATCCAGTAAATCCTGTTATCAAGTTCCTCACTGTCGTTGATGAATTCACTTATGCTATGGGTCAGAGATTATGCTGTGGCCACCACCTATGTGATGATGTCTACGGCATCCCTCACTTTGACACAGACTTACACAGAACAATACGCTAACAATTATAGCTGTCCAACTTCCTGGTCTGCTTTGTAAGGTAAGGGCAGTGAAGACACTGGGAATGTTCAAGTGGAATCTGGGGTGTGGGGAAGACCAAACCTGCATGAAGGAGTGGTTAGGGAAATTAACTTACTTCCCAAACTGTATCAGGGCCAGAATCATCCCAGAAACATTTATTTTATCTATTGGTTATTTATTAAATAATTTAAATATGATTACTTGTCAAAATGAAAGTACATTCATGTGGTTCAAAATTCTGAAGTTCAGAAAATATTTTGTGAAAATTCTTCATATCCAGTCATACAGCCACCCCCTTCTTACCTATTGAAAGCAACCAACACTATCAGTATCTTATGTATAGGGGAGCTTTAAAAATATGGAATTCCAAGGCCTACTTAATGAGACTCTTTGGAGACAGAGGCTTTGCTATTGGTGTTTAAAAAAAATCTTTCCAGATAAGTTTGTTGATATGTGGGCACTTAAGTGATTTTTAGACTTCTTTCAAACACTGAGATTTTATGGAAATATATAATGTAATACTACTCGTCCCCTACGTTCCTACAATGTGTGTAAAGTATTTTCAAAACTAGTATATATTTTTTTCTTTTTGCAACCCTGTAAAATAGGTATTATTTTCTGCCCCCTTCCCATTTTTCAGAGAATGGAAACTTCTGAAAAACTCTCAGAAGTTTGGACAACTTGACGGAGGTAACTCAGCTAGTAAACAGCAGGGTCAGGTAGCATCATTCAAGGCCATGCTAGGACCTAAGTGCTTTTACTTTGAGCTTTACCCCACATCACATCAAATGATAACATGACCCGTACTTCAACATAATTATTTGCTATAAACTGTTTTAAAATAATTTTGATAAATTTGAAGTTCATTAGGAATGAATTATTCATTTCATTTTTATGATTAAACTTTACTACATTTATACATGACATGTAAGTTGAGTTGCAGCTGGTGTGTTGACATGATGTCAACGCTTTTAGTCATGTAAACATTTATCAATGCTGACTCTGTGTGTGTATGTGTGTGAGACAGGGTGTTACTGTGTCGCCCAGGCTGTAGTGCAGTGGCTGTAATCTTGGCTTACTGCAACCTCCACTTCAAACGACCCTCCTACCTCAGCCTCCTGAGTAGCTAGGACTACAGGCATGCACCACCATGCCCGGCTAATTTTTAAATTTTTTTTTGTAGAGATAGGGTTTCGCCATATTGCCCAGGCTGATCTTGAATTTCTGGGCTCAAGCGATCTGCCCACCTTGGCCTCCTAAAGTGCTGGGATTACAGGAGTGAACGCTGCACCTGGCCGATGCTGACTTTAAAGTTGCTGCCATTTTTTTTTTTTTCATATTTTGGAGCTACTAATTTTGGGGATAAGGGCAAGAATTCAAATATCTTTTCAAGCTTTTGAGGAGCTTGTAGGTTTTAGGTTCTATACTTGAGGTGCTTGTTTTAGTTAGGTTAAGGCTAAATTTCTCTAACAAATAGCCCCAGAAAAAATTCAGTGGATTAAAGAGAATAAGAGTTTATTTTCCTTTCATCTAACAGTCTGAGGTGTATGTTTCAGGGTAGCAGGCAGCTTGCTTTATGTAGTTTTCCAGCCATCTAGGATTCTCTATCCCTTAGGCTATTGCCTTTATCTGCATGAACCATAGATTCCTCCAGGTTCTGGTTCATAAGTGGAGAAAGTGCAGGAGGTGCGTCCATGGTTTTTAGGTCCATGGTCTACCTTGAAACTGGCACACATTCCTTCTGCTCACATTCCTTTGTTCAGAACTTAGTCACATGTCCACAGCAAACTACAAGTAGAATTGGTCAACCCATATTGACCCAAATGCGGTGGTGACCCACATGTAGTGAAACAACCAGCAGCATTCACAACAATGCATAATGCAGCTAGGAGACTGTTACAATAATCCAGGTAGAAGCTGATGATGGTAGCAGTGGTATTTGTGGGAGATAACTGAATTCTGGATATATTTTAAAGAATATCCTAATAGATTGGATAAGGCTGTGAGTCAAAGAAGAGTCAAGGATGATGTCCAGGTTTTGGCCTGAGAAACTAGAAGAACAGATTTCTCATTTATAGAGGTGAGGAAGACTGAGGAGGAAATTTCTGTAGAAAGGCAAAGAATTTGGTGTTGGATATATTGGGTGTGAGATGCCTATTAGAAATCCAAGTAAAAATGTCATGTAAGAGTTGAGCATATGAGTCTGGAGTTTTAAAACTAAACACTGAATAAAGTCAACAAGGAAATCAATATAGGCAGAGAAGAAGCCTAAGGATCAAGCTTTGGGACATGTTGATGTTTAGAGGTCTGGAAGATGAAGAGAAATTGAGGGGAGTCCCTAGAAAGGCAGGAGGATAACCAGGAAAGGCTGGCACACAGGAGTCCAATTGGAGAAAGCATTTTAGGAAGCGGAACATGATCAACCTTTAAACAACTATAGTGTTAAATACTGTAAATAGGTCATGTTGGATGAGAACTGAGAATTGACTGTTGGATTTATCAATATGTCATGGATTTTTGGGGAAAGTGACTAGTAGGAATAGAATATTGGAATAAAAACATAATGAAAGGAGAGAAATTTGAGGCAGCACAAGTACCTATAACTATTTCAGTGATTTTTGTTGCAAAGGGGTAAGCAGAAAAATGGGGCAGTAGTTAGAGATCAAGGTTTTTTAAAGGTTGCATGAAAAAATCTTCATGTTTGGATTCTATTGGGAAATCATTCACTAGAGAAGGTAAAATTAATGATGCAAGGAAGGAGTGGAGAATTGTCTTATCAGTGTCCATGAGAAGGCAAGAAGAAATAGGACCTAGTTCACAAATGGAGGTGTTGGTCTACTTGCAAGCATGGATGATCCATTCACAATAATGGGACAAAGCAGAGTGAACAGCTCAGATACAGTGTAGCAGGATGTGGTGAAGGTGCTTGTTCTTTTCTGATTTTCTCAATAAAATTGTAAGTCAGGTCATTATTTCAGAAGATGGAGAAGGAGACACTGTGGGTTTGAGGTGAAGAGGGAAATTGGGAAACTCAGCTAGACAATGGGTGTGTGAAATAACAGGAGACTTGTACAAGGTTTTTGGGCATCTCTGGGGCCTAGTCGGCCTCACTGGTGTATACTTTTCTCTAGGCACAGCTCAGGTACAGAGTAGGCTGAGAGTTGGATTTGGTTAGGATTGGGCTGTTGCAAGGAGAGACAGTATGATGAAGGGAGAGAAAGAGGCAAGGGAGTTACTTGTGTGTGCAAACGGGTTACTCCGTGGAATCTAAACTGGGTAGAAAAGGACGTGAAAACCTGAGGGGATAAAGACCAGTGGAGAAGTGATAGGATTAAAGGATTTTAGATTTAAGTGGGTCAATGAGTTGTTGAAGTGATGGAGTGAGCAGGAAAGATAGTAAATGATAGTTGGAGAGTGAAATGGAGATGACCGAGGGGTGAAATTAATGTCAAAGTATAGCATAAGACCATGGGAGTGGGTGGTAGCTGGAGCAACAGAGGTCAAGGAACTGAAAAGCAAGGGCACTGGAAGGATCATAGATATTGAAATTCTGAAGAATTAGGGCAGGGGCCATGCTGGAAGGAGGGATGGTGAGATAAGAGCTAAAGCCTTGAAGAATGAGTGGGAAAGACCTGGGAGCCTATAGACTTCAGCTACCAGTGTGGGATAGCTGGATAGCCACCAATGTGGGATAGTCTGATGGCATGAGAGTCAAAGCTGGAAGATTTTAGGGAGGAGGAAGAAACAGGTATGAAAGTGCCAGAGAAGGCAGGCCCTGTGGTTTGAGTGACATGGAGAGAAGCTACCACCTGAGGGGGCTGCAGAGGAACAGCCCAGTGTCAGGAAGAGAAAGTGAAGGTCCCTCAAAGAAGAGGATAGAGGTGATTGTGCTAGGACAGACTCGAGGGCACACTGGAGGGATATAGGGACAGATTAGAGCACTTATGGAATTCTATGGAATCTTGAACCTTCCAGGTCCTGGTTCATCTATGAATGTTGATATCTTATGACTTCAAATTTACTCCCTCCCTCTGGGCTTCTCTCTCTTGCTTTTATAGGACAGTCCTTTCTGGTCATTCAAATCATTTATCTGTCCTCTCTGCCATCCCTCTCATGTACCTTTCAGGTCTTCCACTTATTCTATTCCCTCCCTCCCTCCCTCCCTCCCTACTTCCTTCCCTACCTCCTTCCCTCCCTTCTTCCCTCCCTCCTTCTCTCTCTCTCTCTCTCACACACACACACATACACACACACACTCACATCTATCTCCGTGAACAGAACTTTGGCATAAACTTCTGAGCGTACGGAAATAGATTTGGCTCCTTACATTAATAAATAATAGTATGCATAATGAGGAAAACATTTAAATCTAAACAATACAGAACTTAGTAAGGTAGGAAGTCAGTTTCCCCTACTTTCATTTCAGTCCTAAACACATCCTTTTTTAAGCAGAATCCATATAATGTTTATTATATAACCTTCCAAATTATTTTTAACGCTAGACATTTACGTACACACACTTGTATATACTCATTAATGGAATAAAGGTTCTGGTTTTTTTTCCGGCGGAGGGTCATTTAACATAGATTATCTTTGCAAGTCACTGTCATATTATTTTGTTTTTAGCGGACACACATTATGCCATTGTGTGAATAAAACATTCTGTAGTGATGGACATTTAGGTTGTTTGGAACTTTTTCTATTATAAATAATACTGTAGTATACTTCCCTGTACATATCCTTGTGCTAAAAATTTGGAAGCTAGACTCCTACAACTAAAGTTGCTGAATGTTACACTGAATGTACATTTTAAAATTTGGCTGACACTGCCAAATTGTCACCCTCCCCAAATCATGTACCAATTTATACTCCCACTAGCAGTTTATGAGTGTGCTTCTTTCCCCATACCCTACCCAGTAATTTGCCTCCTTCTGGAGGTTTGTAAAGAAGCAATCTGTCAGACAGTGGAAGAGGCAAATGAGAATCTGTGTACACTGAATACACCTGACACCTTGTTGAATCCCAGGGTTGGTTCTGCTGATCTGGCTGACTAAGCAGGGGGTCCCCCTTCTCCCCCTCTCTCTGGGCTCCATGGGGATCCCAGCTGAGGAACGGTTGATGAGGGGCACTGGGGTGCTCGCCTTCACTTTGATTTAAAGTCTGCTTCTCAGTCCACTGCTACTCGGGGACAACATGCTCTGATGGCTGATAATATGCTCTATTTGTATTCTAGCTGGATATAGGTATTAGAGCCAAGTGTTTATTCATTTCCATCAGGGGAAGTCTTCAGGCACCGGGTGCTCACCTTGATCTTTAATTTTAATCACAAAATCAAAGCCCTGCTGTCATTTCAAAGGCTCACTCAGACACTAAACTTTAGAAGGTCTATTAGTCCTCATCCCAAATGGGTAGGAGAGGTGGATGCTTCCATTACAGGGCTCCATCCCCATTGCCTTTTCCCCTGATTTAAACTAAGGTGCAAAGGAAGAGAAAGACTGCTCACTGAAGCTCACAACCTTTTAAAGTACCAATAATTTGCATGAACAATGATGCCCACTTTTGTTTTTAAGACCACTTAATAGACTTCATTTCTTAAACCAAAATCACTGGTTAATCTTTCCAGACTGAGTCCTCAGAAGGGAACTGCTACAAATTTATTCAGAGGATTTCAAGCAGTAAAAATAATGTGCAGTTCTTTTTAATGGGTAATAAAATTCCCCAAGAAAAATGAATCTTTCTAGGCATAGAGTAGATGCTTTTCAAAGAAGACTCACTATCTCCTTTTTAAAAGAGAAGAGCCTTTTTGTTTTTGTAAAATCAACACATTTAAAGTTTAAAATTCAAATGATGCAGAAAAATATAATGAAGATAGTTTAAAAACACGTGAAATTCTACAACCCAGAAAAAATCACATTACCATTTTTGCCAAAACACATTTCTATAAACACTCTATAGATTTATACATATATGTGGACCATACTCTTTTGTAAATTGCTTTTTATTTCACTCAAGAATGTGCAATATCCATCTCCTCATATATGTTACTTTAATATTGATAAACATTTTATTGTATAGATGCCTCATCATTTACTTAGCTAGTGTTCTAATGATGGACAGTTAGGATCCTCCTAATATATTTCTGCAATTGCAAATGATATTGCTATGAAGAACCTTAGAGCTAACTTCGCACATGTCTTTATATACTTCCATGTAATACTTTCCAGAAGTAAAATTAATGGCAGGTAAGAATTCTACCACTGAACCACCCATGCTAGAAAGTAAAATGAATGGATTTAGAACATTTGTACTTTTTAAAGTACTTTAGAAAGGTATTGAATTGTAATTTCACAGCAAATTATGAGACTGCTATTTCCCCATACGGTAGCAGATATGAAATAATACAATTGATATTGATTTTTGCCAGTTTGATAGATGAAATAGCACTAATTTTTGTTTGTATTTTTAAATAGCAAAGTTTGACTCTTTTTCTTTTCTTTCTTTCTTTTCTTTTTTTTTTTTTTTTTGAGACAGAGTCTTGCTCTGTCGCCAGGCTGGAGTGCAATGGTGCGATCTTGGCTCACTGCAACCTCCGCCTCCCCCGTTCAAGCAATTCCCCTGCCTCAGCCTCCCGAGTAGCTGGGACTACAGGCATGCGCCACCACACCCAGCTAATTTTTTTGTATTTTAGTAGAGACTTGGTTTCACCATGTTGACCAGGATGGTCTCGATCTCCTGACCTCATGATCTGCCCTCCTTGGCCTCCCAAAGTGCTGGGATTACAGGTGTGAGCCACCGCGCCCAGCCAACTCTTTTTCATATACTTAATGGCCAGTTTATATTCTTTGCTCATTAAAAAATGGGATATTAGAATATTTATTAAAAATAACCATTTGTCTGTCTTATACATGTTACATACATTTTCCCAGTTAATTTTCAAATTTTGTTTTAAATTAAATTTAAACAATCATATTTTTGCATTTCCCTTTAAAAAGTGAAAAAAATATTTTTAAAGGGGAAATGATACATGTATCATGATGCTGCAGAGAGCTTTGACTGAAGGAAACTTGGAGGTAGGTGGCAAAGTGGGACAGATGGCATCCTTGGTTGAGATGCAGAGGATCCACTTGGGAGTTACTCAGCCAGAGGCTTTATTTAAAGATATTCTAATAGTTTTTGCTTGTGTGTTTTCAAAAAGTAAGAGAAAGAAAAAAGCCAAATGGAAATATCTAAGTGTAACACACACTTGTTTTTCCATTGCTTTTCCCCAAGTTTTGTGAATTGCTCAGGCTACTAAAGACTGGAGTTGTTTTCAGGGAGAGTTTGGATGGTTATAGCACGATGGCTGCTAAAACAAAAACATAATGGGACAGGTCTTCCTTGACTGTAATTTGCTTTCTTCCACTCTTTCCTCAAAGGCTTCATATCTAAAATCGGCTTGAAGATTAAATATGTGGTCCTTTGCATAAGAGATTAATGTCAATTTAGCTTTACTTGGCAATTAGAGGGTAAAGGCAAGAAACCAAACCAGAAAGAAAACAACCCTAAAAAACACTATTTCAGGTTTTGATGTGCTTGCATTGTAGCACTTAAAAAATGATTCTACTTGAATAGGAAATCTTTATTCATTTGGGCTTCAAATGGCTTTCAAAATTATAGGGGAGATATGTTGCTTACTCAGAAGAATGCTCTACTTCCAAGAATTTTGGCAATTTTATGTTGTAGAGGTGGATTAATATTCTATAAATTTGAAGACATTTACTATGGGTCAGACACTGTTCTTGGTGCTTTTAAACATAAATATAAATAGATACACACACACACACACACACACACACACACAGATCTGTATGTATATCTTGCTTAATTTGCTTGATGTGATCTTGCCTTCCCCCAAGCCTTGAAGGAGCAAACTGAGGAAGCTTTAGGGTGGTCCTGGAGTTCTATGTCGTTGAAGACATGGCCCTTTGCATAAATACTTCAACCTCTTCTTAGAGGGTTGGAATGAACCAGGTGTATAAGGCCTGAGTCATCCTAAGTATATGAGGAGTCAATGATAGGGACTTATCCTTCAGTCAATATCAAACCAGGATTGTACTTTTCATTCTTAATGTTATACGGTTAAGGAAAAACCTAGGTTTTTAAAAAGTTATTACTTTTTTAAAATAAATAATTGATCCACGTGGGAGAAAATTTACAATGTACCAAATGGCATACACTGAAAGATGTCTCCTTCCCTTTCCCATACCAACCAGTTCCCCTCCTCAGAGGCAAGTATTATTGTCATGTATATCCATCTAGAAATATTCTGTGTTCATATAATTATGCATGTGTTCATGCACACACACACACACACACACACACACACTCACTCTGCTCCACCTTTTCATGGAAATAGAAACATACCATAACACTGTCTTGCTTTTTTCACTTAATACAGTATCTTGGAGATGCATTATTGTATTCTACTGTGTTGATGTGTCAAATTTATTAACCAGTTGAAAATAGTATTTTGCTATTACCAACCAAAATGGCAATGAATATTCTTAAACATACAACATTTTGCGTGAATGTGGGTGTATTTGTTGGACAAACGATCAAGAAGTAGAACTGATGCATCACAGGGCTCATGCATTTTTAATCTTGAAAGATAATCAGGCTCTGTGATTCTGCAGAACAAGTTAGTAGCCCTTTTTAGTAAGATCTCCCTGTTAGATAAATTAGCAGGGTCCAGGTCAGAAGTGACTTCAAAGTTCCTTTCTTGAAATGTCTCAGCTAGGTGCAAACTATGACTCTCTGGAACATGTGAAAAAGATATCCAACTTGTAGATGTGGTACTCACCTGTTAAAACCAATGTCAAGGTAGACCTTAGAACCCTGCAGATCCTGAAGGGCAATAGTAAGAGACCTCAGAGTCATTGGAGTATGACCCACTGGGGCCACCAAAGTTATACACTGTATTTGATGCTACCTGCTATTAATTAGGCTGAATAATATGAAATTATTACAGGCAGTGGCTCATGCCTGTAATCCCAACACTTTGGGAGGCAGAGGTGGATGGATCACTTGAGGTCAGGAGTTTGAGACCAGACTGACCAACATGGTGAAACCCTGTCTCTACCAAAAATACGAAAATTAGCCGGGCAGGATGGTAGGCACCTGTAATCCCAGCTACTTGGGAGGCTGAGGCAGGAGAATCGCTTGAACCTGGGAGGCGGAGGTTGCAGTGAGCCGAGATTGTGCCACTGCACTCCAGCCTGGGCAACAGAGCAAGACTCCATCTCAAAAGAAAAATAATGAAATTGTAGACATTAGACTAGTTTTTACCTACAAAAATGGCAATTTTTCATTTCATTTGATAAGTAGTTCAACTAATATTAAGTTTATTTTTTGGTGTCTTAGGGAGAATTCCTTAGGGAACTGGGAAAGATTTCACACAGAAGGTAGGTTTTCAAGCCTGGGAAGCAGAGAGATAGGAAGGAAGGTTGGGAACGTAGACAAGAACATTGCAAGTTGTGAGTATAGAAGACCTCTGGGAATGAGCCTGCATGGAAGGTAAAAGTGTGAATCAAAGGAGTGATGTTCTGTTTCTACAACTTTTCATGAACTGAAGTGGATCTCCCAGCTCCTTGTGTGAAGCAGAAAACTGTAGTTCATCAAAAATAATTGGGTCAGAGAAGTGGTGGTTCACATTCCCAAATATGTACATCTGGATTAGGGTTTTAACCTCAGAACAGAAGGTGATGGGCATTGAAATTTTGGTATATCCGGGGTTTTGGTACTGAAAACTTCAGTTGAATATTGGGGTCAAAATCCACCCTGTTCGTATAGACTTAGAAGTGGCCCTGAAGTTCATTGTCTTAAATGGTTGCTAAGGGGATGATTATAGGGATTTTCCCACACTTGGAGAAGAGTCATCCTGGAGCACTGGGATAAATATAGAGTGAGGGAAAGTGTGTTTCCTTTTAAAATTAGAAATACAATATAACAACATTGGAGGGAGTTTAGAAATAGAGGGGTATCTTCACCTATAATCACCACCCTAACAAAACAGCCCTGAATGTTTATGTAATCCTTCGACTTCTTGGCAATTTGCTTTCATATTTTTACTCCACTGTAACTACAAGCTTTTCTTATTTTACATTTCAGTTTTGCTAATTATTATTTTAAATGGCTGCATATTAGTCCCTTGAGTGGTGGCATTATAATTTGCCCACTTATTTTCCCATTCTCAGACATTTCAGGTTACTTCCAATTTCTTACTATTAGAGAAAAAAGTATTTTTAATCTCTAGGCTGATAAAAGGCTTCAGTCCACACTTTAGTTTTTTCTTTCTTCTTTCTTTCCTTTCTTTCTTTCTTTCTTTCTTTCTTTCTTTCTTTCTTTCTTTCTTTCCTTTCTTTCTTTCTTTGACAAGGTCTGCCTCTATTGCTTAGGCTTGACTGCAGTGGTGTGATCTCAGCTCATTGCAACCTCTGCGTCCCCGGCTCAAGCCTTCCTGCCACCTCAACCTCCCAAGTAGCTGGGACTACAGGTGTGCACCACCATGCCTGGCTAATTTTCTGTATTTTTTGTGAAGATGAGGTTTCATCATGTTGCCCAGGCTGGTCTCGAACTCATGAGCTCAAGCAATCCTTCTGCCTCAGCCTTCCAAAGTGCTGGGATTACAGGTGTGAGCCACTGCACTCAGCCTAGTTTTTTCTTATTAAAGTAAATTACTCTGTCACATGGCTTCCCTCTGTCAGCAGAGAAACCTATTTCTCTATTTTACTAGCACTAAAGGCAATAGTATTTATTGCAAAGTGTGTGGGATAGTGTGTGACAAATAATGAGGGCTATGTCAATGTAAGTTATTATTATAACTAGGATTCCTGGTCACCAATACCAGAAAAAGACCTGTAGATAAAGAACCTATTGAGAAGATACTGGATCACCCACAGAGAATTAGTATCAACGAATATGGAGCAGCCAAGCGGGGCTGGCAGCAGAACTGTAGCCTAAATCGTGCCATAGGACTTGTCTGGTTTCTGGACACCTCTGCTGAAACTGCTACCACCAATGTCCCTGGACTGGATTGACAGTACTCCATCCCCACCAGGAAGAATTCTACCCCTTGTGTTTTTTCATTATCTACTTAAGATTCAAGATAGCTGAATCTAAGTTATGTTCCTAATTCTTATGCATCTATAGTGGGAGATAGGGCTCTGCGTCCCACCAGGACTCTGACAGTGGGGAGAACACCCTCAAAGGGGAAGGTTGTTCAAGTTCCGGGGGGTCAAGTGGTAAATATCTTCACTTGCTCAGACTGCCTCTC
The DNA here is from genome assembly GCF_000001405.40 of Homo sapiens. Taxonomy (NCBI): domain Eukaryota; kingdom Metazoa; phylum Chordata; class Mammalia; order Primates; family Hominidae; genus Homo; species Homo sapiens. The sequence continues at coordinate 31,841,951 of NC_000011.10, forward strand.
ACCTACAATATAGCTCAGTCAATAAAGGAGATTTCTACTCTACTGATTGCCTGAAGGTAAAAGAGCTTTTGGGATAAGCAGCAGGTTGAATCTTTGTTATCGAAGGGCTCTTTTTGAGGGGGAAAAATGGCAACAGAAGGGAGGTTCCCTGCACCAGCAAAAATGCCCATGAGAAGCCTTCTGTTGCCATTTTTCCCCTTCAAAAAGAGTCCTTGGATAACAAAGGTTCAACTTGAACTATGACTTATATCAATGATGGGGTTACTTTGTTTCCTGGGGTATTAGATCCCGGTACAATTAGTTAAATGTCTCCTCCCCTCCCCACCTCTAAAATAAGAACTGAAAGCAGAGACGAAGTCAGAGTAGAAAATAAATGACATGTTTCTTATGAAAGCTTACTAACAATTAGGAAAAAATTTTTTTCTTTTTTTTGAGACGGAGTCTCGCTGTCACCCAAGCTGGAGTGCAGTGGCACCATCTCGGCTCACTTCAACCTCCGCCTCCCAGGTTCAAGCGATTCTCCTGCCTCAGCCTCCCGAGCAGCTGGGACTACAGGCATACACCACCACACCCAGCTAATTTTGTATTTTTAGTAGAGAAGGCGTTTCACCATATGAGCTATGCTGGTCTCGAACTCCTGACCTTGTGATCCGCCTGCCTCGGCCTCCCAAAGTGCTGGGATTACAGGCATGAGCCACCACGCCCAGCCAACAATTAGGAAATTTGACCCACTCCCGAACTTGAACAGTACTGTACTGACTCAGAGCTCTAGCAAATATACAAATTAAGAGGAATAGACTGCAACACAGTTACATAATTTACTTAAAACTCTCTCAGTGGCTTCTCGTTAGTTTAGAACAAAATCCCATATCGTTCTTCCTGACCTATCAGACCCTACATGTTCTAGCCCTGGCCTTTCTATCCAGATCCTGTTTAATACCCTCTAACCCCAGTTCTTGGCTTTCTTTCTGATTCCTCCTTCCTTAGGTCCTTGTCATGTTGTTCCTTCTGCCTGGAAGGGTCCCCTCCGTGTCCAGGCAGCCCTAGGCCCCATCTAACACTAACTTCTGATCTCAGAGAAATCATCTGCTGCTTTAGGGAAGCCTTCCCTGATCCCAGGTTTGGTACCCTGGTATATACTCCCATAGCAACCTGTCTGTTGTATCACTCATTATACCTGTTATTTCTGTTAGGCTGTAAGTTCCATGAGTGTGGGCACCTCAGTCATGTTCAACATGGTCTCCTCTGTGCCTAGAACTGTTCCTGGCAGAGCATGGGCACTCAATAAATGTATATAGAACAAACTGAATTAAAGAATGAATGAATGTTAGCTTTGCTTGTCCTTATATTAAATGTGCCCATAATCATGTAGATTATTTTAAAAGAATGTTTTAAGAAATAATTTTAAGTTGCAAAGATAGTAGAGGGTTCTTGTAAAGCCTTCTTCCAGTTTCCTCTGTTAACATCTGACATAACCATAATACGTTTATCAAAACTGAGAAATTAACATTGACACATTACTAGTAAGTAAACTACAGACTTTGTTCAGATTTCACCAGTTTTGCCATTAATGTCTTATTTTCTGTACAGTGTCCAATCCAGAGTACTATGTTGTGTTTAATTATTCTGTCTTCTTAGTCTCTTTCTATTTATAATTTTTCCCCTTTTTCTCTTTCTTTGTCTTCCATGACCTTGACACTTTTGAGAACTAGTGGTCAGATATTTTGTAGAATGTCCCTCAATTTGGGTTTATCTGCATTTTCTCATGATTTCTGGAGTTACAGATTTGGGGCAAGAATGTCACAGAAATGATATGTTCCTCTCATCTCATCACATTATAAAATACATAATGTTGGTGCATCTTATTACAGCAATGTTAACCTTGGGCACTTGGTTAAAGTGTCTACCAGATTTTGCTGTGTAAAGTGTCAATTCTTCCTTTTCCATAGCCTATTTGGTAGAATCAAGTCACTAGGTTAAGCTCACACTCAAGGGTAGGGGAGTTTAAGTTCCATCTCCTGGAGAAAGGAAAATCAAATGATTTGTAGATACATGTTAGAATCACCACAGCTATTTACTTTGAGGGAATTAACCTCAAGGCTATGCAACTGTCCTGCCTCTCCTGAAAGTTTTACCCACTTGTTTTAGCATTCATCGTGGATCTTGCTTGCCCTACATTTATTATCACAGTGTCCATGGATTCTTTTTTTGTACAAAGAATGAAAATTCTTGTTCATAAACTGCTTTGAAATTTGAAGTTTAGTTCTTGTTTCCTTTTTCTTTCTTTAGAGAGAGGCTCTTGCTCTGTCACCCAGGCTGGAGTGCAGTGGGGCAATCGTAGCTCACTGCAGCCTCGACCTCCTGAGCTCAAGCAATCCTTCCACTTTAGCCTCCTGAGTAGCTGGGACTACAAGTGCACACCACCACACCTGGCTAAAAGTTTTTATTTTTTGTAGAGATGAGGTCTTGCTATGTTGCCCAGGCTGGTCTCAAAGTCCTGAGCTCAAGTGATCCTCTTGCGTCAGCCTCCCAAAGTAGTGGGATTACAGGCATGAGCCACTGTGCTGGGCCCACGTTTGTTTTTCTTAGTAACTGAAACATTATTCGTATGTCAAAGACTATTCATCCTAGAGGAATGAAAATGAGGTATTGCCCTCCCGCTGACCTTTTTCTAGCCCTAACTTTAAGGTCAAACCACAGCTCTTAATTTATAAGGACACTGTAAAGTTTTCAGCTCGGATATTTCTTATGAAAATTAAGATGGGAGAGTTAAAAATAACAGAAGAAGTACCGTCAACAAAGTGGGATAATTAAATACTTAGGCAGAAATTAATAAGACCCAGAGAAGCTTGTTGTGTTTTCAGTTTCATTAGCAAATCTCATTACTTCTGGAGTCTTAAATGTTGCTTAAAACACAAAGTTATTATCCCTCTCCTATGCTCTTTCTGGCATCTAGAAGCACATTTTATAGTCAATTCTCTTAGGAGAGATCAGGGTGGTGGCGAATGGAGGGACAAGAGCTTTATAAATTGTAAAAGTCCTACAAAGGGGAGAGATTGGTATTACCATTTTTCTAATTGCTCAATTTTTAAAAAAAAGCAAAAACTTGGCAACCCAACATTGCCTTGTTTCTTGGAGCAAAAGTGGGAAATAACTTTGTCTCCATCTGCTAGGGACACCAAAAACAGGCCGACTCTTTACTGAGTGTGTAATCTCCATAGGAAGTGGGATAGAATAAAATGGAAGCCACACCAGAAAGAATCCTGAGTTCTACATTTTAACAAATGGCAGGGGCTCTGGAAGAGCTTCAAAATAAAGAGAAAAAAACAGTGGTATCTGACAATGGTATCAGAACACTGATGTGGGATGATTAAATATTCAGAGGATAAAAAACATGCACATAGAAAGCCATTCAAAGGATTAAGAGAAAGGTTATTTTGTGACTAAAAAGAGAAAAAAATTAAAATACCCACCCCCATAATGAATACTTCCTAACAGTACCATGGAACCTTGACTCTTGACTCTGTGCTGTACCTTGCATTCCAGATGACTTGTAAAGCAATGATTTATTGGTCCCAGAGCCAGTGAGCTTGGGAGCAGTTCAATAAGACAGTGTGGTCTGTGGGTCCTGAATCATTATTCTACCTGGCAACCTTATGACACCTGCTGAATCTTGGAGGGGGCCAGGAGGAAATGATGTTGATTTATAGAGGGAGTGAAATTGTTTGTCAATGAAGGTATAACCGTGCTTCTTCCAGGCTCAGGCAACTATAGGAAACCAGATTGGCCTTTACTGACAAATTAACATAGGCCAAAATTTGGAAAAGAGAGCATTGCCTTGCATTTTTATTAAAACCTTGTACTTTTGTTAAAGATTTCACTATAGCTCTATTAATATACTTTCTATAATATTGGTCAAAGAATACAAAATGTCATTTATATAGGAGAAATAAGTTCAAGAGATCGATTGTACCATATGGTGACTATAGTTAACAATATACTGTATTCTTGAAAATTGCTAAGAAAGAGGATATAAAGTGTTCCTACCACAAAAATGATAACTATGTGAGGTAATGCACATGTTAATTATCTAGATGTAGCCATTTCACAATGTATGCATACTTGAAAACATCATGTTATACATGATATATTCAATTTTATCTGACAATTTAAAAATTAAAAAAAAAACTTTCTTTGAGATAGTTGGTACAAACTTCTTTATAACATTCCCCATAATGTTTGTAAAGTGGTGCTCTGGGCCAGGCCTGGTGGCTCAGGCCTATAATCCGAACACTTTGGGAGGCAGAGGTAGGTGGATCACTTGAGGTCAGGAGTTCAAGACCAGCCTGGCCAACACGGTGAAACCCTGTCTCTACTAAAAATACAAAAATTAGCTGGGCATGGTACTGCACACCTGTAGTCCCAGCTACTCAGGAGGCTGAGGTGGGAGGATCGCTTGAGATGGAGGTTGCAGTGGGCCAAGATTGCACCACTGCACTCCAGCCTGGGTAACAGAGCCAGATTCTGTCTCAAAAATAAATAAATAAGTAAATAAATAAAGTAATGCTCTGATGGGTGAGCGTGATGCACAGTGTATGTATATCTTTCAAGAACTAGCTTTGTGTTTTCTAAATGATCATAATACCCTACATTCATATGTGTATGTGTACGATATTACACCCTTAGTTTCATTTTCTTTTTATAAAAATCATGTGTTAAACCCATTTTGAAAGATGAGGAAACTGATACTCAGAGACCTTAAATAACTTGGGTAAGGTTAACCAGATAGTCACAGAGCTAGTAGCCATAGAATGGAATGTGGCCCTTCACCCAGTTTTTCCACTGCACTGGTTCCTGGATAGAGAGTTTTGTGCTGCTAACCTCCTAATACCCATTGGAAAATAAGACAGGTACATGCGTTGTGGAGTTTGGCAGAATCAACCAAAAGCAATTCTATTTTCTTTACATTAAGCACCAAAAAATTAAAAGCTATCCAGGCTTGAATTTTAGATAGACAGGTAATAAGCTGTGATTGCTCTTAGATAGGGCCCCCCAGGAAGAAGCTCTCAGCTCTGGATGGCAGACACATGAATAAATAGTCAAACCCATCATAAGAATAATTCTGCCTGGGATTTGGGAAGGAGCTGCTCAGAAAAAGTGGGGACGATTCTTTAATGGACTCCAGAGTCTAGAGCTTCAAAGCCGAATCTGGGAGAGCCTTGCGTATGGCACAGAAGCTTGGAAGGAAATTAAAACCAGCAGAGAATGTAATTACCTGAGTAGGAAATGGGCTGCAATTTACCTTCCCCAAGGGTGTGCATTCTTTGGTTACTAAAAAGGTACTTGCTTTCAATGAGTTTAGTACAATAAATGGATTTTCTCATCCTTGTAGTGGATTTTAAAATCCAAATGTTGTGACTTGGGCTGCAATTTAAAAAAATTCTGCTATTAGGGGCTGGGTGCAGTGGCTCACGCCTGTAATCCCAGCACTTTGGGAGGCCAAGGCAGGCAGATCACCTGAGGTCAGGAGTTTGAGACCAGCCTGATCAACATGGAGAAATCCTGTCTCTACTAAAAATACAAAATTAACCAGGCATGGTGGTGCATGTCTGTAATCCCAGCTACTCCGGAGGCTGAGGCAGGAGAATAGCTTGAACCTGGGAGGCGGAGGTTGCAGTGAGCCAAGATCATGCCATTGCACTCCAACTTAGGCAATAAGAGTGAAACTCCATCTCAAAAAAAAAAAATTATGCTATTAGGGACACACATATATGTATTATGGATTATATATTAATGGCCTCTTAGTCAGTAAATTAACATTGAATAGAATTTGTTCAAGGTACCGATTTCATTCTAATTAAGCCTGAAGTCTATGTTGCTCTTGAGGAGAAATAATGAAAATATTTTAACAATTCCAATCAGATACCATTCTTTTAAGAATAGGAGTTGGTGGAAAGAGTGAGTGATGTAATCAAATTCCAGTAATTATTTATATCCACACATTCATTCTTGTAATGCTGGCCTTCCAAGTATTTCCCAGTGTAGAAACTAACTTTTATATATTGAAGGCCTTAACTGAAGATGAATCCAAGATCCTGATAAGACACATGACGTTTTAAAAATGTGAACATTTAACCTTCCACATTCATAAATAAATTCATCAGGGTGAAGCAATTTCCAGGGGCATGGGCAATAATGTTGGGGCCTAAACGTCAGTATCTCATTTTAAGTTCTGTGTCTTGGTAGGATTTGTCCACTGCACTGGATTTAGATTCCTCCCATTAGGGAGCTGCCATTCCCCAGGATATTGCCAGGAAATCCCCTAAGTGTCAGTCTCAGGCCAGGTGACTCTCTGACTAGGCTTCCTTGGGAAGCAGAAGAGCCAAGGTGGGCTTCATGGGGTGCTCAGATTCCCCCACCCCCAACATTGGGAGAGCTCGGAAGCAATCACATCATTTCTGGGTCCTTGCTTTCTCCTTTTGCACAAAGTGGACATCCAAGTATTAATATTTAAGTATAGAAGAAATTACTGAGGAAAAATATAACATTGAATATTGCTGAGAAATGAGGGTAGTTCTAAAATAAGTCAGTTGATGAGAAGACAATAATTTCAGTGTAAATGGAAAATGAAATCTTTAGTATTCATGTTATCTTCTCTCTGAGCCTTTCTTTGAGTCTCTATCACCAGGATTTTAAGAGTTCATGGTAAGCTTTAAGTGAAAGCAGGAGGGACCTCAGCTCCTCTACTTAAAATCAAGGTCCGTGAAGCACTTGCTGACTGGCAGTCCTGGGGACATTCTGTGCAGAATTGCAGTGCCCTATAGTGTGAGACCACTCACATTCCCAGCTTGTTCTAAAATGCCATTCAGAGCAACCACAACTCCAGACGGCTGGTCTTTGTGCATTTGGAAGAAGGAGAAGTGGGGCTCAAATTTAAAGCTTTCCATTATTATAGAGACAATAGCCAAGAAAAGTTCATTCTGAACAAAGTTTTATGTTAAAATATATTTTTTTTCTGCTTCCTGAGACTTGCCCAAATAGTTTCAGAAAACTTGGAGAGATTTTTGCCTATGGCCCTATTATAGTGGAACATCATGTTTCTTCTTGTCCTTTGCATATAATGACAAAGGAGCTAGCTGTGCTTCTAGTCGGCTCTGATTCTGCATTTTCAGCAGCATAAAGAAAAACATCTCATTCCTTTTATAGAAATGCAATCCCCTGAGGTTGTCCCTTAAAAGCTGTTTTGATTCATGGATGTTGTGGCTGCCAAATTCTCCAACTCCCAAACTACCACTATGCATTTTCTCTTGGACAGGGAATTTTAGGATCATCCCTCCTGACCCCATAATAAAGCCATTTATTTCTCCCTGAGATGGAAGATTCATTAATTTTTTTTCTTGTTTCTCCTTTGCAATTATCTCTATTACTACCCATAATCTTCCCAATCTTTTTCAATAACATCCTGTGATTAAAGCCAATTGGCTCATGTTGAAAGCTAGAGGAAAGTTAACCAGGCACAGAAATATCACCCTTGGATTAAAGAAAACCAACTTTCACTAGGGTGGTGCTTGAGAGATTTTTGATAAGGAAGGGTGGATATTGAGCTGACACTAACGTTAAATATTGTTGTAAAAAAAGAAAAAAAGCTGATGCTCAAAATAGGGCTGAGTAACATACGGTAGTTCCTTACGGCAGGCCAAAGGACAGTTTTGCCTGCAAATGAGGTCAAAGGATGTCTTGTTGATTTTCAAATATCATCCTAATTATTATACTGGGCAGCATTTCAGAAGAAGAACTAGGGAATCTTAATAATGATAATAGTAGTAGCAGTAGTAGCCACCACTTATTTAGCTGAGTCATTTGCATTTATTATCTCACTTTATTCTTTCTATAACCCTTTAATATAGGCATTATTATCCTTGTTTTATAGAGAGGCTAAGTGATTTGCTCAAGGTCACCCAGCTGGTAAGTAGCAAAGTGAGGATTTGAACTTGGGTGTGAACGCCCGAGTTATTTTATGCCCAGGATTGTGCTTGGCATCGTAGGGGAATATAACAGAAGCACAAACACTTTTCTTGCCTTGAGTTAACAGTTTGACTTGGGACACTAGGAATCCTTAAAGAACACTGAACAATCGTATACAACTAAATCCCCTCAGTACTTAATCCCCTGTTACTAGTTAATACCTTTTTAATATTAGATAGTCCTTGTTCATGTTACTCGTGTAGCTTCTGTCTCCTGATTAGATCCATGCCATGGAGGCCACACACTGATAGGAGCTGAGAAGAGGCAAGGAATGTGGAGGGCAGTGTTTGAAACCTGGAGACACTGTTTATTGGCGGTAAAACCTTGGGCACATACCTGCCCTTTCAGTCAGCTTCCTCATCTAAATTGACCCCAAAGGAGTGTTGGAGAGAAAAATTAAAAAGTGTGAGGAAGTGAGTTTGTACACAGTAAGTCTTCCTTTAACAAAAATGACAACATCAATGCTAATATAATAGCTCAGAAACAGTGCTATTAAAATTCAGATGTAGGCTGGGCTCAGTGGCACATGCACCCGAGGTCCTGCCTACTCAGGGAAGCCGAGGTTGGTGGATCGCTTGAGCCTAGGAGTTCAAGGCTGCAGCGAGCTGTGATTGCATCACTGCACTCCATTCTGGGCTACAGAGTGAGACCTGTCACTAAAATTAAAAAAAAAAAGAAAAAAAGTGAACTCTATTACAAATAAAAGGCATACCACCACCACACTTGTTTTTAGTAGGAACATTTTAAATCAGGCTTGTGTTTGGGCCTGTGAACCTGGTCCATCATTTCAACTCTTCTAAGGTTCCTTTGAAAATGCTGAGTACCGCATTATGGGTGCTTTGTTATATGATTTTGTGGATGCTTTGGTATTTCTTTTTGTTGTTGTTGTTATGACAGTCTCTCTCTGTTGCCCAGGCTGGAGTGCAGTGGCACGATCTCAGTTCACTGCAGCCTCTGCCTACCGGGTTCAAGCGAGGTTCTCCTGCCTCAGCCTTCTGAGTAGCTGGGATTACAGGTGCCCACCACCATGCCGAGCTAATTTTTGCATTTTTATAGAGACGGAGTTTTGCCACGTTGGCCAGGGTTGTCTCAAACTCCTGACCTCAAGTGATCCACACGCCTTGGCCTCCCAAAGTGCTGGGATTACAGGCGTGAGCCACTACGCCCTGCCTGGATGCTTCAGTATTTCTGACCAGATGATAAGCCTCTGAAGAGAGGGGATGACAAATCTTATTTCTTGGGTCTCAGCTCTCCTTCATGTCAATTTTAGTGCCCTGTACACATTAATTTACATGCAGTAGGTGATTTTTATTCAGTATGCTTTTTTGTTTAAGGTCCTCTTTCTCAAATATCTCCCCTGTTAAGGTGCCACAGTGGGTAAATGTTACCATTTTTCTGATTTTTGGATAAAGACTACTGTCTGTAGATATTCTTTTTAAATTGATTTACTCCTGGAAGGATTAACATATGGAACTGCTAGTAATCTTTCATAACTTAATGTGAATTAACCTATCAGGTAATTTCCAAATAGGAAATGACCAGACAACATGGAACACTTGGGAGAAAGAAAATGCATTGAAAGTTAGGGGAGGAGAGTGAGGGAAAGGAGTAGGCACAGACTACTAATTCTACTAATTCTGATGAGAGCTACACCTACACACTGGATATGTACAATAGATATTCTCTTATCTCACAGATGCAGATTCTCTTATCTCAGATATAGGAATTATAGCAGAACTTTACCTGCTATCAGTAGATTTGGGTGATAACATAATACAGAGCTTAAATGTGTAGGCTCTGTAATTAGCTAGATCTAGGTTTGAGTTTCAGCTCAGACATCATCTAGCTGTGTAATATTAGGCAAGTCATTTTACCTCTCGGATTCACTGTTTCCTCATCTGTCAAATGGGGATAATAATGGTAGCTACACAGAAAATCTCACTGAGGATTTAGAGAAATAATGCATGTAAATGATTAGCACAGAATTTAGCATGCAGTTAGTAGCATTAACTATTATTATTATGGTTACTAAATATTACCCAGAGTTAGGCCATGGAAAAATAGTCTCATTGTGGTATTATGAATCCTGTGACAATCACAGGATACAAACTACTGTGGTCAGCCTGATAATGACAGTATTAGATGTTGATATTTTCCTAGAAATCATAATTAAGTCCTAAATTTTTTTTTAAATTTTTTATTTGGAATAATTTTAAATCTGTAGAAAAGTTGCAAAGATAGTATAGTTCCCAGGTACCTTTCACCAGCCTCCCCTAATTTTAACACACTGAAAATATCTTTGTAATGTGTTTAGATATATTAATAATAACATTCTCACCATTCTACTAGTTCTAGTTCTTGTCTTTTTTCTGGTTCCTGTTTACTGATATCTAGCATGGTAGACAGAATTTTTGCCTTCATTTCTTCATTACCAATGGTAATTTTAATATCCGCATCCTTGCCATAGTCTCACAGTGGGCAGAGTCTCACAGTGGGCAGAGTATATGCCTCTATTCCTTGTCTTAAGGTTTGGCCATGTGATTCCTTTTGGCCAGACAAAACACAAGCAGAAACTTAAAGTGAACTTATGCAGTTGGAGCATTTGGGGAGAGAGGAAAAATAAACAGAGGTGCAGTCAGTCATCTTGAACTTGAACTTGAATTCCCCAATCTTCTGTAACAATAATAGAAGTGCTAAGACCTCAGAATAATTTATTGAGAAATACTGAGCTCATATTTATAGTGGGATCTGTTTACAATCTTATGCTATATTTTAATGTAAATATGAATATATACACATGTATTTTATTGTATGCATTCTTTATGTCCTCTATAAAGGATATGCAGTGAAGTTCTGGTATTATTTTCTTTTCATTGAGTCCTTTATTTAAAGCACTGGTTCTCAACCTTGGTTACACATAGATATCTGATGCCAATGTCTCGCCTATAGAAACTACGATTCAATTATCTGTTTTGGGACCCACTCGCCAGTTGTTTTTTGTCTCTGTTTTTGTTTTGCTTTGCTTTCTAAGCCCCTGAGGTAATTGTGATATGCAGCCATGTTTGAGAACCACTGCTTTAGAGTATATTTTGAGATCCTAAATGTATAGTTTCACACCTGATTTCTCTTTCTGCATTAGATTGTTTCAATGAGTCCATTCATTCCTTCATGCAATGCTGATGGCCCTGTCATTACAAAGACTGGTAACTGTAATATCACCTGCCCTATAGCTTGTGCTTCAAGCAATGCTGCAAAAGTTGAAAAACAGGAAATGCAGTTGATTTGGAAAATGACACCCTCCTGGAAGGAGGAGGGAATTATAGCATGAAAAAGGAGCTGAGTAACACACATATATGGGTACACTTATTCTATAACTGCCACTTATATAATTATAAATATTTAAAATCAGTGTGGCCAGCATTGTCTTCAACTCCTGATTCACCTGTATGTGCTCTGGCTTTCAATTTCTTGAAGAAATGTTTCTGGGAGAAAACAAGGGCAGTCAATTATCCATGTCATGAGAAAAATCTCTCACCTGCTCAGATACCTGCCCAGGTGAGAGGATGTGGTTAAGAAAAAGAGCTAGCAAATAAGATCATGCACTCCCTTTCCTGTATTGTGTGAAGGCAGTTTCATTGGGCTCAATGAAGGAATCAAAGGGAACGTGGTCAAATGCATCACATCACTGGCTCATTGGCATCTAGTCTTCCCATTTTTAAACCAGAAGCCAACAGGAGGTTGACTTGGAATTTTGACTTCCTTCATTTTACATCTTTGCCTTTCTTCTTTCAGACTTTTCCAGGCTTGAATTTCCAGTCAACCCTTTGTCTTCACTCAAGGTTACGTTATTCCAACCTCTTTTCCTCTCATTCGTCAATGGTGTCATTAGAAGTCAGGATCCTCAAGTTCCAATCCAGCTCTGCCTTTCATTCAGTTGTTTCACTCTCTGAGCCTTAAGTTTTTTACTTCATTTTCTAGATCAAAAAAAAAAAAAAGAGAGAGAGAGAGACTCATGATACTTGTCCATCTCTAGGATTATTTGTAGGTTTAAATGAAATAATGTCTCAGAAAGGGCTTTGTAATTGTCAATTTATTCTCAGTGTTGACTGCTTACCTGCCATTGCTATGGGAAAATGGGAAGCTATTAAAATATTCAATCTTGATCTTTATTCTTCCCTTTGAAACCAACAGGGATTTTGGGTGACAGAACAAAGAACAATTTTAAGTGAATATTGAGTAGACAAATATGCCCAGATTGTTTCAAATATTACAGAAGAAATTAGAAACCAAAATGAAAAATTAAAAAAATTCCAGAACAAGGAGGTTTTCTTTATCAGAATTTGTTGATTATTCATTTTGGAATTTGAGTAGAAATAAAATTCCTATGAATACATTATTTTCAAATATGGATTAATAAGAACAGGAGAATAAAGTCTTTGGCATCAATTTCTGGATTCCTTACAATATCCCCCCAACTTATCAATCACACAAGGAGTTATGCCCTACAGAGGTGTTTGTGAAAGTCACAGGCAATGAGTACCAACATAAAACATTTGGATTCTCATGTGCAATTGACGAAGGTCAGCTACCACCAACCAGTTCCCTTCCTGTCTTCCTCTGTCCCTCTTTGGGCTAAATTCCTTCAAGATCACCTTGCAGTCAGCAACATCTTCCTGGTAATAGCAGATAATTCTTACTAAACACTCCCAATGTTGCCACTGTTGGTATATTGGTATATTGTTGCTTTATTGGTATATTTCATTTGACTCTCACAATAAGACTACAAGGTGGATGTAGTAGCCTATAAATAGCCCCCCAAAAGATATCCATGTCAGAATCCCTGGAACCTGTAGATGTTCCCTTATAGGCAAAGAAAAGGGTCTTTGCAGATGGGGATATTATTCTAGATTATCAGGGTGGACTTGAATGCAATCACATACATCCTTATAGGAGGGAGGTAAGGCTGGGTGCGGTGGCTCACACCTGTAAACTCAGCACTTTGGGAGGCTGAGGCGGGCAAATCACCTGAGGTCAGGAGTTCAAGACTGGCCTGACCAACATGGAGAAATCCCATCTCTACTACAAATACAAAATTAGCCAGGCATGGTGGTGAATGCCTGTAATCCCAGCTACTCAGGAGACTGAGGCAGGAGAATCGCTTGAATCCAGGAGGCAGAGGTTGCAGTGAGCTGAGATCGCACCATTGCACTCCAGCCTAGGCAACAAGAGTGAAAATCTTTGTCAAAAAAAAAAAAAAAAAGAGGGATGTAGAGGAATATTTGACATACGGAAGAGGAGAAGGTAATGTGACCATGGAGGAGGCAGAAATTGGAATAATGAGGCCACAAGCCAAGGAATTCGGGAAGCCACCAGGAACTGGAAGAGGCAAGAAGTGGATTCTGCCCTAAGGCCTCTGGAGGGATTGTGGCCTTACTGACACCTTGATTTCAGCTGATAAAATTGACTTTGGACTTCTGGCCTCCAGAATTGGGAGAGAATAAATTTCTGTTGTTTTAAGCCACCAAGTTTCTAATATATTTTACAGCAGTCACAGGAAACTAGTACAGCACACATTAATATCATCATGGCCATTTATATAAGGGGAGAGCCACATTTGAGGGAAGCTGAGAAACTAGACCAAAGTCAAGTGGCATAGTCAAAATTTGAATTCTGAAAGTCAAACTTCAGAGTCAGCACTTTTAACTGGTGACCCTTAACAGTCCATAATAGTACTGTTGAATGCTGGCCCAGTGTGCGGCACCTGTGGTGATCACACATGGTATCATTACTGGTTTCCCAAATAGTCATTTTCCAAGACCTTGGGGGTAAAGAAGAGTTCTACACTCCTTCCCTGATATCACTCAGCCTTTGGGTAGTAGAGAAATGGAATCACCATCCTATTTCCCTCCCTACCTGCTATGGTCTGAATGTTTGCGTCCTCCTCAAATTCATATATTGAAACCTAATCATCAATGTGATGATATTAGGAGGTAAGGCCTTTGGGAGGCAACTAGATCATGAAGGTGCCGTCTTCATGTATGGAATTAGTGCCCTTATAAAAGAGGCTCCAGAGAGCTGCCTTGCCTCCTTTCATCGTGCAAGAATACACTAAAGAAGCGTCATCTATGAACCAGGAAATGAATCCTTACCAGACACAGAATCTACTAGCACCTTGATCTTGGTCTTCCCAGGCTCCAGAACCATAAGGATAAATTTCTGTTGTTTATAAGCCACCTGATCTATGGTATTTTGTTATAGAAGACCTTGTGAACTAAGGCTCTACCCTTTCAGTTTCCAGCAAAGCATTTAGAGCTTCTAGATACATTCAGAATAAGGGGAGTTTGTTGAAGGTGACACTAGATCCTGAGTTAGCAGAAACTCATACCTCTAGCTATACCAATGGATATTATTACAATTTCTTGTTAAGTACTGTAATTAGTCATACACATGGGTCTGAATCATCTCTTGGCCTAAACTATCATTTCAGTTTCTCCTTAGGCAAGGGAAATAGTGCAACTGCTATACACAGGTGGATACCTGTGCATCATGCATACATACCTATATTTATTTACATATCCATTGCAGCTCACAAATAAAGATCCCAATGATAAATAATGACTACCTATTTAGTGATGACCATTTATGGGCTAGGGTCTTTATACACATCCTTACTTACTTGAATTTTCACAATAGTCTTGTGAAATATTGTAATACTGTCTCTTTTTTTTTTATAGATTTGAAACTCCCCAAGATCACTAGGGGAAGGGGTATTTAAACTCAGATTTGTCTTGCAAACCACATGTTTCTAATCACTCAACTTTTCTGTTTTTCTATTTTGCTTCCTTACACAAGAGTCTATTAGAGGCGTGCTCTCTCTCTCTCTCTGTAGAAGTGTTATTGTGTGATTAATAAAAGACAGAGATTTTGGTTTATCTTCACCAGTGGAAGGCTTTGATACATTACTCAATGTTCTCTGTGGTATCCTATATTGGATAACAGTCTCAAGCTCAAAATTAAAGATTTCTTTAGATCAAATTTGATTGCAATCAACAAAAATTTACCTAATTAAAACTTTGGAGAGATTTCTCAGGTTCTTCACCATGGGAAAAGGGCTTTGAAAGCCTAAAGAATGAAAATAAGGCATTTCCCATCATGAATAATGATGTGAAATTGTCTTAGAAAGGATTTTTTTTGTTGTTATTGCAAAGGATAGACACCTACTAAGTCAGCGAAACAAAGAGAGGGAATGCATAAAGAAGCACAGTTGTCTAACTGAACCCAGAATAATGCAATGGGGTCTCAGGAGAAAAGGTATCCACTACAGACCCAGCTCCTAGAACAATGCCTAATTTAAAGTCAGGGTTCAATAAATACTTGTTGAATGGAAGAATGAATGATTTCTAAATTTCTAGGAAATAGAATCCACTTTGCTCAGCTTGGGTCAAGTGTTCATAACCCAGTTCAATCAGTTTTGGCCAGAGGCAGAATTATATAGGGCCCTGGTGGGAGGAGAGGGTGTGTTTCTCAGAGAAGGAAGGAACACTGTGACTGAGAAGACACCTCAAAAGGTGACAAAGAAGCAATACCTACCTTGCCTCAATGGAGGGCTGAGTCCCCTTTCGAGTGTAACAACATGGCCCTGTTAGGGAAAGTGTCGTAAAATTGGGACAAGGTAGAGGTAGTTGAACAGAAAAGTCATCTTGATCATATTTTGCCTTTATACTTTTGAATATTGGAACAAATGAAATATTCTGAAAAGATGAAGAGAACACTTCTTTGTTTATGGAACTAACCAACTCTGTTGAAAGTGTCATGGATGTGTGTGTGTTTGTTTTGCCCAGTAGGGACAATGTTGTTAAGGGATGCCATGGTGTGAATACCTGTGTCCCCCCCAAATTCATATGCTGAAATCTTGCTCCCTCAAGGTGACAGTATTTGGGAGGTGATTAGGTCATGACAGTAGGGCCCCGTGAATGGGATTATTGCCCTTATAAAAGAGAAGCCCCAGAGAGCTGCCATGCCTCTTCTACCATGTGAGGACAGAACAAGAAGTTGCCATCTATCTGAAAACAGGCCTTCACCAGATACCGAATCTACTGGTGCCTTGATCTTGGACTTCCCAACCTTCAGAACTGTGAGAAATAAATTTCTGTTTTTCAGAAGCCACCCAGTTTCCGGTACTATTTTTTTTTAATAGCACCCTGAATGGACTTATATATGGTGCTACTGTACAAGGCAAAGATTAAAGTCAGGGTCTATGTTTGGGGCAGAAACACCTAATTGACAGTTTGCAGGCTTTGATTAGCTCTAGAGAAACCACCCGAATCTGAGCTTGGTCAGGGAGAAGCCATGCTTCTAAGGACAAACAGGACCTCTCTCAGTTTGGTCATTGCCTACTTTCTTGGCTCCTCTGTCTTTGTTTATCTCCCCCGACTCCATCCTCAGCACATTCACAAATGCTTCAGCCATACTAAATGTCTCATCTTTCCCCAAACCTCTCTATTCTTCCAGGCATCCATGTCTTAACTCAAGCTTTTCTCTCTGCCTGGATTTTCTTATCCTTTGGGTGAACAACTACTTACCTTTCAAGGTTTCACATTTAGTCACCCATGAAATCTCCTCTGACCTTCTCTCTACATCCACAAACTCCCCCTTTTATACTCTTCGTTACTATAGAGGATAGGAAGACAAAACCATATTCTGAGAAATTCTTGCAGTAAGCTGATGTGACCAAGGTTTGAGGAAATGGCTTTGTTTACCTGACACGTGGAGGTAGAAGTGAGAAACAAAGATGGAGGCCACATACAGGGAGGCTGTCCTGGCAAGCATGATGGTAGAGGCATTTGATTCTTCTGAAACCAGGTGGCAGCTTTGCCAGTGTTCAGTCTCTGGTATTATAGCCTCTAGCAACAGAGAGTGTAGAAATAGGGATACTGCTAGGATAGTCCCGAGGTGTTGATGACAAGGCTTTTTGTTTTTTTCTGGATGTGTAACATCCAAGCCTGACTCTCTTGGAAATTCTGCAAGCTGTAGTAAATTAGTAAATTCCTTTGTACTTACACTACAGAGGATTCTGTAGTCTTCAACTAAAAACTCTTATTGACACTGCACCCCAGTTCAGGTTTTATATATTTATATATACATATATATATATTTATATATACATATATATATATATATATATATATATATATATATATATATATATATTTTTTTTTTTTTTTTTTTTTAAGATTGAGTCTCACTCTATCACCCAAGCTGGAGTGAAGTGGTATGATCTTGGCTCACTGCAACCTCTGCCTCCCGGGTTCAAATGATTCTCCTGCCTTAGCCACCTGAGTAGCTGGGATTACAGGTGCCTGCCACCACGCTCAGCTAATTTTTGTATGTTTAGTAGAGAGAGGGTTTCACCATGTTGGCCAGGCTGATCTCGAACTCCTGACCTCAGATGATCCACCTGCCTCGGCCTCCCAAAGTGCTGGGATTACAGGCGTGAGCCACTACATCTAGGTTCTAGATCTGAATAAGTGCTGTGTTTCAAATATCTTGGATTTGGTAAGTGCTGAATAATGGATGCATGAATGAGTGGGTAGATGTGTCTCAAAGGGCAATCTCTAATTCTCTAGGTTCCAAGATAGAAATGGGAAAACTCTTGGTGACAGTAACATGAATTGAGTTTGAAGAGCCAGGGGCTGAGTGTGAAGAGCACAGGGCAACTAGAAGGAAGTTGAGGAAAAGTAGCCTTCACTCCTGCCAAACAGAGCACAGGGGCAGCTTTCATTATAATGTAAGGTCATGCTGTGTCTACATATACCATGTTGATTCACTATCTCCAGCAGAAAAATGCCTGGTTAATTTCAATGAAAACAGGTAAACTTGATGCTTGGTGTTGTGCTGACTAAACACGCAGTGAACTGACAGAATCATATTGAATGACTGGCTTGGTGGCACATCAATATACAGTCCCAGAGACCCAGCCAAGTAGAAGGGTGAGAATTGGAGATGAGATTGGGTCTGAGGAGTGCACCGCAGGGCTAGGGATGCTGAGCAAGGCTTGAGGTGATGGGAGGAAATAAAAGGAAATGTGGCTTTCCTATTGTGTTTTCTCTTTTCATTTTCTATGGCAAGGAGATTGATAGTCAATATGATTGTATGTTGTAGCTAATATATGCATAGATGTAGCTATATGGATGTAATCACCATATTCTATGACAGTAGTTATCTAATTCTCTGTCCCACCTAGCCTCAATTTTCAGAGGGGCTCAGGACAGGCAGGACAAATGGAGGATAGTAAGGAGTCCCTGAGCCCTAATGGTCAGTAGGACGGCTCAGATCACTTGCAGTCACTGCCAACAATTCTATCTATAGTCCTTAACTTGGGACTTTAATTCATTAGGTATATTTTTGAGAATAAATTACTCTCACCATGGGAAGTTTTTATCTGGTCTTAACAAAGAGCTAACTTACACCTAACATGCTGGACAAGTGTAAATTTAATTTAAATTTGCACACCTCCCTTCCCCCACTTACTATCCCCAGGGAGCTGTGTGTCATAACTCAGGGGCAAGGCATGTTTGCATTCTGGCATCACAGTGGCAGAGGGGAAGGAGAGAGGGCTGGTTGGGAGTTAGCCTGCTGTAGCCTGCTGTAGCCTGCTACAGAAGCTTCCCTAGTTCTAGGCAGTGTCTTGAGCAGGGATTCTTCACTGAGGGAGCACATCAGAATCATCTATAGAACTTTCAAAAACTACACATACTCATGGACCTTTCCCCAATCCAGTAGGTTTAGGGTGTGGCCTAGTCATTTGGATTTTGAAAAAGCCCCATGAGCAGTTCTGATGTGCCCCTGTTGACGGAGAACCACTGATAGGCGCAGCAATCTCAGGCCTAGTTCTGATGACTATCCCTGTGGATAGGGACAGCATCATAGAGCAAGATGTGAAGAGGAGTCCAGTTCAGAGGGAGCAGGTGTACTATGAGCTCAGTCTGCAGGTGGCAGGACCCCAGAAGCAGGTAGGGGATCTTAGAGAACAGAGCCTAGCCTTACAGGAGGGAACTGAGCCCTAGTCCCTGCTGGTATTCAGGTTGAGGCTCTCGGTTTCCAGCAGAAATCTAAACTATTGGTAGGAACCCTGGGACTCAAGTCCCCTGGCGTGTTCCTCAAACACAGGATCTGCTCAATTGCACAGGAGACTAACCATGATGGCCACTGTAGCTGGGACCCTGCAGCAAGATCTGGGGCGTGGTCAAGAGTTTCAGAGTGAGGCCTAGGGAGAAGGCCATCCATATCCACTCCAACCTTGTCAGAAATGGGGCTGGTGAACTCAGGAGGGCTTGTTGTCAGTCCCACCTGGGGAAGATGAAGGTGGAGGAAATAAGGCAAGGGTTGGCAGTGGTTGTAAACAGCTGGCCCAGGATGGCTTGGTTACTGTCCCAGCCAGCAAGTGCCTCCACAGTGGTGCCCTACAGACACACTCTACAACTTGGGGGTTTGATCTAGATGGTTCGTTTAAGCTCAGTGTGTTTTTTGGGGTTTGTAAACTACTTAAATTGTGACAAAATTTTGTTCACCAGGGGTTCTTCCCTAGAAAGCTGCAGTCTGGTTATTCTGTTTTGAGGTCTCTGTTGCCTCTGCTGCAAAATCTTATGGCTTGCTCTGTCTTTTGCCTGTGCTCATGCATTTCCGGAATCGGTCTGTTTTCCCTGGAAATTATGCCTGCTCTACAAAATGTGCTGATTTCTCTGATTTGGGTCATCTTCTCTAGGTCACAGGTGCTCTCATTGTCTACTACTGCTGATTTGCCCTGTGCCCATCCTGGCTCTCATTGACAGCTTCCACCTGTTTGCACACTGTCTACACTTCCGCTGCCTCATGGTTCATTCCCAACTCTTGACTCTGTTCTCCATGGGAGGGACTATTTCACTGCAGAAACCCAATTATTTAGGAGGGAATGAACAGGCTTCTTGGCATAGAACTGCTAAAAAGACCCACTTCCCGCTCTTTGAGATGAAAAACACATGTTTATTTCCTGGTATCTCAATTTCTGGTCCCTGATTACATAAAGTTGTCAGATTTAGCTAATAAAAATACAGAATAATCAGTTAAATCTGAACATTCGAGACACTGTTACATTAAAAGTTATTTGTGGTTTACCTAAAATTAAAATGTAACCGTGTGTCTTCTATTTTATCTGGCAACCCTATGACTGAAAGAAAGTAGCTGAATTTGAAAGTAGTCAGAAGGGTACTGGAATACTGAGTTACAGACACACACACAAACATCCCTGATGAGTCAGATTACTTTATGGAAGGTACTTGGGCAAATGACTGCTAGTTGTTATCCAACATGTATTTTCTTCTTTTAGTAGAACTTCCAAACTTATTCTGAGCACAGGAAAAGAGAAGGGTGTATATTGCTCAATATCTCTTGCAGCTAGAAGTTGCCAGAAGAGTATGAGAAGAAGTGATGTGTACAACTTCAGGATTATGCCCTTAGAGGGAAGGGCCATACTCTCCACTCCCCTTTCTCACTGATTGGAATATAGACAGGGTGGTTGGATCTGGGACAGGTATCTTAGGATAAGAGACAGAGGTTGTGTGTTGAGTATAGGAGCTCAACAAGATAGAAGAGTCTTCAACATCACATCAGCCCTGCCTGCTTGCACTGATGGTTTGGCTTGGTGTCCCCACCCAAATCTCATCTCAAATTGTAATCCCCATACGTACAGGGAGGAAATTGGTGGGAGGTGATAGGGTCATGAACAACATCGGTTCCCCCATGCTGTTCTCATGCTAGTGAGAGAGTTCTCATGAGATCTGATTGTTTATAAGCAGCAGTTTCTGCTGTGTGCTCTTTATCTCCTGCCGCCATGTAGAACATGCCTTGCTTCCCCTTCTCCTTCCACTATGATTGTAAGTTTCCTGAGGCCTCCCCAGCCATGCAGAACTGTGAGTCAATTAAACCTCTTTCCTTCATAAATTACCCAGTCACAAGTAGTTCTTTATAGCAGTGTGAAAATGGACTAATACATGCACATAAACTGTTACTGGAGAGAGAAATAATCTGTCTTTTTAAGCCATTGTTACTTTATTGTTGTTGGTGATTTTTTTTTGTTTTTTGAGACAGGGTCTTCTTTCATCCAGGCTGGAGTGCAGTGGTGCAATCATGGCTCACTACAGCCTCAATCTCCCAGGATCAAGCAATCCTACCACCTCAGCCTCATGAGTAGCTGGACTACAGGTGTGCACCACCAAGCCCGGCTAATTTTTGTATTTTTTTGTAGAGATGAAGTTTCGGCATGTTTCCCAGGCTGGTCTCAAACTCCTGGACTCAAGCGATCCACCCGCCTCAGCCTCCCAAAGTGCTGGGATTAATGGTGTGAGTCACTGAGCCCAGCCTGCCACTGTTACTTTGGCTTTTGTAGGAGCCAACTAACTGGTATTCTAACTAGCACAGGTATCATTGTTGATTCTCTGGCAGACATATTTCAGAATTCCAAGAGACCAGATTTGTAGTGTTCTACAGGAAGCTGTGCTTTTGTTTGCATTGACATTCCTTTTGCTTATTCCACAGCAGACATGGAAGCAAGACACAGGTCCAGGATAGGGCGGGAAAGTGGCTTTCTCAGTGACATTTCAGTGTGAATGAGACTGACCCAGGGAGTTTGTTAAAATGCAGATTACTTAGCTCTCTCCTTTGGGATGTGAATTTGACAATTCTGGCCTGACCCAGAGAATCAGCATTTGAAAAGTATTCCACGTCATTCTGATGGCAGCCCTTGGGCCACACTGAAAAAAAAACTCTGGTCTATAAGTGGAGCCCTTCAATATGCGGGACTCCTGGGAAATACTTCAGTGAATTAACTCAGGAAGATTCTTAACTGCTACAGAGATGCTGTTGATGGTGGTGTTTAGCAGTCTAGGAACAGCGCCTTG
This sequence comes from Homo sapiens, assembly GCF_000001405.40. Lineage (NCBI taxonomy): Eukaryota > Metazoa > Chordata > Mammalia > Primates > Hominidae > Homo > Homo sapiens. The sequence goes on from NC_000011.10 coordinate 31,863,910, forward strand.
GAAATGAATACTTGGAAATATTTGATGGGACACTCAGTGAAATGCAGACATTTGGAAAGTTACAAAGCTTTACTCTGGATGGCCTGTAAATACCACACACATGCACTAATTAGATAACCAGACATAATTAAACTATTTGGAGACATGATTGAAAAGTAAATATTTTAAGGGACAAGAGGGCAAATTTTAAACACTCCATTCTTCACGCTCATTTCTTTAGTTCACAATGTTGACTGAGAAGTCGGGGTAATTACAAGTGGTAATAATGCTTGATAATTACATATTTGCCTCTGTTTACATTGGACATGAAATTAGGAAACTCACTTCCTAAGTGAACCCTTGTGAGCATCCTTTCACAGAGAGTGAAGTTCATATCACAATCAAAGCAATAAGAGGGAGTAATTGTGACACTAACCACAGGAGGAAAACAATCAGGGATAAACTTTCAGCCCAAAGGAGTGAGATGGGGACTGAAGAGAGGATAAAAGTGCCAACCAGCCAACCAGATAAATAATAACATTTTTTTTGAGTATCTACATTGTGCAAGGGCCCTGTGCTAGGAACTATGTGGGGGTGGGGCAGGGTCAGAGAGACACTGAAGATGGAGAAACTTAAAATGTACCTGGGAGCCAGGACGCATCTGAACGCAAAGTTCCACTGTAAGCGATGTGGGAGTAGTGCCAAATCAGCACTTCAGGGACTCCAAAGATGGAGACGCTGGAGAGGGTGCAGACAGTCAGGAGGAGCTTCTTCAAGTAGGAAGTCAATCAACACTTATGAGCCGTTGTTGGTGTTGGGGATGCAAAGATGGCCAGGAAGGAGTCCCTCTCCTCAAGGGGCTTCCATTCTGGTGGAGGGAGACCGATCTCAGAATACTATTACTGGATAGAAATATTGAATTTGTTAATCAATAATAGTAATAATTGATTGCTGTTATTGTATATTGTTGGCCAGTTGGGGTGGCTCACATCTGTAATCCCAGCACTTTTGGGAGGTGGGAGGATTGCTTGAGGCCAAGAGTTGGAGACCAGCCTGGGCACCATAGCAAGACCCTGTCCCTACAAAAAATTTAAAAATTAGCTGGGCATGGTGGTGTGTGTCTGTAGTCCTACTACTTGGGAAGCTGAAGAGGGAGGATCACTTGAGCTCAGGATAGGAGTTCCAGGCTGCAGTGAGCTGTGATGGTGCCACTAAACTCTAGCCTGGGCAACAGAGGGAGACCCTGTCTCATGCATATGTGTGCGTGTGTGTATAGTTAATCACAGATAATCAATCCATATATCAGATATTTTCTGATATGGATAAGAGCTACAAAAAAGCTTTGATAAGATAAAATGGTGGAAGTGAGTGGAGCTGAGTGGGGTCAGATGGTGGTCCCAAAAGGCCTCTCTGAAGAGATGAGGGAGTCTGAGGCTTGACCCTAACCAGGAGAAAATGGCAGGTGTTGGGTAGCTAGGGAAAGCATTTGCAGGCTCAGTGTGCCCTCTAGATAGTGAGGAGGCCAGCATGGCTGCAGAGTGGTGAGGGAGGGGACAGTGGTGGAGAAGGGACTGGAGAATAGCTAGGGCCTGGAGGCTGGGGAAGGAATTTCAGGGTTTATTCTAAGGATGCAGGCTATTGTGGAGGGTCTTGGGGCAGGAGTGACATGATATAATTTGTGTGTTTAAAAAGAAACCATTCTGGCAGCTGTGAGGCAGTAAGCCCTGGGGCTCAGGCATGGAGCTGGAAGATCAGCAAGGGGCTGTTTTGGTGGCTCAGGGTGGGCCTGGAAGGATGTAACTAGGTGGATGTAACTAGGTGAGGCTAAGGGGAGCACGCCACAGGGTGGGGACCCAGAGCATGAGCATTGAGGACAGGAGCCAGCAGGGTGTGTGGGGAAACTGAGGCCACCAGTCAGATAGGGGTGGCAGGGGGCGAGAAGAGAAGGCAACAGGCGAAGATGGGCAGTGCCCTCTTGTTGTTTGGGGAAGGAGCTCACGTGGGAATTTAACGTGAGTGGCTGATGCCCAGAGATCTCCATAGGAAAGTGGTCAGGCCTTCACAGAGGGTCTTTCTTGCTGAGAAAAAAAGTCCAGCTGGCCTGTAGAATGAGGGAGGTGTGCACAGGAAGCAGGCGCTGACATGCCATCAGCCCCTCTGCGTGACAGGTGCTGGAATTCAGAGCACACTAATGTGGTCACAGCCCTCCCGGGTCTGGCTCATCAGCCTCTTCCTTTCACAGAGGAGCACACCCAAGTCCGGGGAGGTTTTCAAAAGCAGCCCAGCCAGGAAGAAGCCATGCCAGGGTGAAACCGAGGTCTTTCTGACTCCAGGTCGGTCGGGCTTCCTAACCAGGGCACCACAGTCTCCATGCTGACCAGACTGTTTTCCTGCCTGCTGCTATTTTCCTGACACTTTCTTCCCTTTCCAACACTCTCTTCTCTTTCCTCTTCACCGTGTTCCTACCTAGCCAATGACTACTACTATATATATATACTATATATATAGTTTAAAGTGTATATATATATACACTATATATATACAGTTTAAAGTGACTGGGATCTTCAATCTTAAATCCAACCACAAAAACAAAAAAGGAGGTGTTTGTCCTTGGAGTACATCTCTCCCCCTGGCAGGGGAGAGGCCTTGTGCACACATCCACTGGACTTCACACACGTGAGCTGAGCTCATGAACGTTCCCTAGACTGTCAGGGCTCTCTATTTTGGAAGGAGGTTGAGGAATTTGCCCAAAGTCACCCAGCTGATGGGTGGAAATTATTCTCAGTCTCGACAACTCTTGTGCTTTTTGGATTTTCCCAGCAGCCCATGCTGCTCTGAGCCATTTCTCAAGATGTCTCCTTTTCCCTCGTGTTGCCTGTAACACTGGTGACATAAACCTCACCCTTCTTGCCTTACTCCCATCTGAGTAGTGTCTCAGTGATGTGTGCCTCTATCCTTCCTGTCCCTCCAGCCTGAGTGTGGAAAATTTTTGTGACTCCCAATGCCTTTCTACCCCCTGCATCTTCTTGCCCTCAGCTTCTCTGACATGTTCAAGAACAAACCTTTGGCCTCCATACCTGTGCCTTGGAGAACAGATCTATAGCATTAAAAATAAACACGTGGACAAACAAACTGTTCCATTGTATGCTGCTGTGTTACAAATGGCCCCTGAGTTGTGTGAAATAATAGCCATGTTTTTAGGCTCATAGTTTCTCTGGGGCAAGAGTCTGGACAGAGTACAGTGAGGAGGACTCACCTCTGCTTCATGATTATCTGGGGCCTCAGCAGGGAAGACTTGAATGGCTGCAGGTAACTCAAGTGGTTGGGGACTAAAATCATTCTTCATTCACATGTCTGGCACCTGACTGGGCCTAGCTGGGACTGTTGACCAGAGTGGCTTACGTGTGGCCACTCCACGTGGCTTGGGCTTCCTCACAACATGGTCGCAGCTAGTCAGACTTCTTACTGCAGACTTGAGGTTTCAAAAGTCCATGTTCAGCCAGGCGCAGTGACTCACACCTGTAATCCCAGTACTTTGGGAGGCCGAAGTGGGCAGATCACCTTAGGTCAGGAGTTAGAGACCGCCTGGCCAACATGGTGAAACCCCATCTCTACTAAAAATACAAAAATTAGCCAGGTATGGGGGTGCGTGCCTGTAGTCCCAGCTACTCAGGAGGCTGGGGCAGGAGAATCACTTGAACCACGTAGGCGGAGGCTGCAGTAAGCCAAGATCACACCACTGCAGTTCAGCCCCGGGTGGCAGAGCAAGATTCCGACTAAAAAAAAAGTCCATGTGTCCATGTTCCAGAGAGCAAGATGGGAACTGCATGATCTTTTGTGACTTAGACACACTGTCATTTCTGACATACTCTATTGTTCAAGACAGTCATTCAGGTTTAGGTAGAAGTGACATAGACTCCACATTTCAATAGAAGGAATGTCAAAGAATTTGTGGCTGTTTTGAAACTGGCATGCAAATAAATAAACATTTTGTAAGGCAAAACCGAACAAGCCCCCTGTTATAATTTTTAACTCATCAGAAAAGTCTCCAAAGTCTAAAACAGCAGTTCCTAACCTTTTCCACACAAAGTTCTTTCCAATTTAAAACACAACAAAAATCTCCCAAAGAAATAGTTATTGTTTTTTTTTAGAAAAACACACACTCATGACAAATAATTCAATACAGCTAAACACAAAGAATTAAGCCTAGTCCAAATAATGTAAAATATTCCTAAAACCTCATAGTCTAGAGATAACTGATTGTTAATTTTTGAAGAATATCCTTTAAGATATTTCTGTATGCATTTACACACATAAATGTATGAATCGTTTTACATAAATAGGATCATCATATTGAGTTTTTCTGAAATACGTTCTCCTTTTTACACTCAATAACACGCTACAGCCATTTTTCCATTTCTTTTTTTTCTTTTCTTTTTCTTTCTCTTTTTTTTTTTTTTTTTTTTTGAGACGGAGTCTCACCCTGTCACCCAGGCTAGAGTGTAGTGGCGCAATTTCGGCTCACTGCGAACTCTGCCTCCTCAAGTGATTCACCTGCCTCAGCCTCCCGAGCAGCTGGGATTTACATGCACCCGCCACTGCGCCCAGCTAATTTTTGTATTTTTAGTAGAGATGGGGTTTCACGATGTTGTCCAGGCTGGTCTCAAATTCCTGACCTCATGATTCACCGGCCTCAGCCTCCCAAAGTGCTGAGATTACAGGCATGATCCACCACACCTAGCCCATTTTTTCATTTCAATAGTCACAGCAGAAGACTATTGGTTTCTCACACAGCAGATATTGTCCCTTCTTTTTCTTTTTCTTTCTTTCTTTCTTTCTTTTTTTTTGAGGCAGGGTCTTGTTCTATTGCCCAGGCCAAATATCCTCCCACTTCAGCCTCCCAAATATCTGGGACCACAAGCCTGTTCCACCATGCCCAGCTAATTTTTACTTTTTTTTTTTTTTTGTAGAGACGGGGTTTGATTGTGCTGCCCAGGCTGGTCTCAAATTCCTTGGCTCAAGCGATCCTTCTGTCTTGGCCTCCGTACATGCTGGGATTACAGGAGTGAGCCACTGCACCAGCCTGTCCCTTTCTACCTTCCTAACAAAAACCCTGTTTTAATTCAGGCATCCATTCTCCTTTGAGAGGCAACATGTTTCCAGGAAAGCAGACACTATTTCTAATTTCTAGTGTAAAAGACAATTGGGCTTAGCTAAAATAGCAGTCCGTTCCCCTGGCCAGTGACTGAGGTAATGACAGAATGTGACATAATTCTGGCTAAAGCGATGGCAAGACTGATGGCAGGTTTGGGAAAATGGGATCCTTGGTGATACAAAGGAATAATTAGGAACAGCCTCACTTCTATTCGGTTGGTGCAGAAGTAATTGCAGTTTTGCCATTAAAAACCACAATTACTTTTGCACCTATCAAATACCACATATTGTCATTCCTGCACATAATGGTTGGAACTACAGCAGTTTCAGATATTGTTGTTTTTTTTTTAAAGATAAGAAATGACTTATTGTTTAATTTGAATTGATTGAGCTGCATTTTTCTGTTGCTTATAGCCCAAAGTATTCTAACTGATGAATGTCACACATAAAATTATACAAAATTACTTTGAACAGTTCCCTATTTTATTGTATGGATATGCCATCACTAACTCTGTAAAATTCCCAGTTGCTTGACATTTAGGCTATTTCTTTCTTTTTATTTTTTGCTATAATAAACAACAGTGATGTACTTTGACTAATTCAATTTTCAGGCAGTACTTGGTGTGTCTATATAACCTCCACCCTCTGACAATAATTAGTTTCTAAGCCATAAGATTGGTCCCACTGAGGCACAGCTTCTTAAATCTGACTGTTGGGTCTGAGATGAAAGCTTGCAGCCTCCAATTATCTCCATTTTTCCCCCTTCCTCCAGTATAAAGAGCATGGGCTTTAGAAGCAGACAGAAATGGTTAGAAATCCTCTGTCACTTCCTAGCTGCACAGTGTCATCAGTTTCCATTTCCCTGCTCTATAAAATGAGAACAGAAATACCTACCTTTGTTGTCAGGACTAAATGAGATGATGTATAATAAGCATCCAGTCTGATGCCTGATACACAGTAAGTGCTGAAATGGTCATTATTTTATATTTTATTATTTATCATTTGGAAGAATATGTGTGTGGAATAACACGAATAGGAGCTATTACCCTTAAGAAGTGTCTGTGGAATGCTGTTTGCTTTCTTTCCAGAGTGGCAAGACTTCTTGCTATTTTTTTAACTTTTTATTTTGAAATTACTTTAGATTTATAGAAGAGATGTAAAGATAGCACAGAGAGGCTGGGCGAGGTGACTCACACTTGTAATCCCAGCACTTTGGGAGGCCAAGGCAGGCGGATCACTTGAGGTCAGGAGTTAGAGACCAGCATGACCAACATGGTGAGACCCCTGTCTCTACTAAAACACAAAATCAGCTGGATGTGGTGGCGCGTGCCTGTAGTCCCAGCTACTGGGGAGGCTGAGGTGGGAGGATCACATGAACCCAGGAGGTAGAGGTTGCAGTGAGCCAAGATTTCACCACTGCACTCTAGCCTGGGTGACAGAGTGAGATCCTGTTTCAAAAAAAAAAAAAAAAAAAAAAGTTCCTATATAACTTTTACTCAGCTTTCCCTAATGTTGACATCATCTTTGGTACATTTATCAAAACTAACACGTTAACATTGGTAATATTATTAACTAAACTACAAACTTTATTTGCATTTAACCAGCTTTTACACTAATGTCCCTTTTCTATCCTAGGACACAATCCAGGATACCATGTCGCCTTCGGGCCAGCTGGTTTTTAACGGACTTACAGCCCTTTCCTTGGAGGGCTGAGTTGCACACTTCTGCTGGAAAATTAGCCAGAGCTAACATTGATTGGGTGCTTAATGATTAGCCCTTCTCATAACCCTATGTATTCCATTCCTGCCCTCATTTTACAGATGGGGAAACAGAGACTCAGAGAAGTAGGAGGCTTGATCAAGGTCACTCAGAGGCAGAGCAGACACCGATGAGGCAGCCTGGTTCCTGCTTAGTTGCCTTTCCCAGAGGAGGATCCCCCCTGGCCCTCTCCCCAGAGCCTGTCCTCCCTGTGTGGCCAGGAGGAGAGAGGAGGTCCTGCAGCAGGGACAGCCTTGCCTGTGGGCAGAGCTAACTCTGGCTAAAACTGAGCACTTTCTGCCCACCGGGCCGGGCTCTGAATTACCTCCTCGCTGCCTGGGCAAGGGCCCGCCACGCCCCTTTCTCCCACTCCCTTCCCTGTCAACTCTCGGTCTCAAGGAAGCTGCTGCTGTCAATCCTATCCCTGTGCGTTTGGCCACAATGCAAAGGCGCCTCCTGGTGTTTGCATTTGAATAGAGACCCAAGCCCGAAGTCAAACAATGAGGCTCGTGGTGGGAGTGGGAGAGATTTGGGGTAGAGCGCATTCTTGCAGCCCCTTCTGCGCCTCCGTGAAGGCAGTTCTCTTCTCCACTTTCTCAGAAGTCTTATTTCTCCACTTGCTGGGGCTACCCCTGCTCCTGGGGACAGGAAGGGGATTGCGTTTCAGCCAGGGCCCCATCTGCACAGCCTGGGGTCTTCTGGCTTCTTCATCCAGGAGCGCTGTCCACTGCCAAGTGGGAAGAAGGCAGCCAGAACTAAAGCTTGCTCCCTGTGATCCCTGTGCCATCACCACCGCTATCTCCTAGGTGGCTTCTAATGACAGCTTTCACATAGGAACACCTTCTGTGTGCCTGGCAGCTATAGGTACATGGATCACTTTATGTGATAAGGAAATGGGGGCTCTGAGCTACTTAGCTGGTAAACGGCAGAGCATGGCCTCAAACTTTGGCCTGGCAGGCTCCAAAGTCCCCAGTCCTTCCAGTATACCAAATACCGTCATGATTGTTTTGGAAACAGGGCCCTTGCCAAAACCAGCCTCAAGTTCCTGGTGCCAGGAGGGCCCCACACCTTTCTGGGCTAGGCAGTGTGTGGGTCCCGCCTCCGGAAGACCAGGCTGGTGATAAAGCCCCTTTCTAAGGCACCCAAAGGGGGCTTTTTGCTGAGCAGGCAGGTGTGCCATGGTAAGGGCCCACATCCTGTCAGGGATGGGGTATTTCCTGATTCAGGTGACACAGCTTAAAGAAGGCTGATAATGAACTGCATCTCTATTTATCCAGGCAAACTTGGCCTAGCTGAGGTGTTAACTGGGCCATGGAACAGCTTTAATCCTTTTGTTTACATTGAGATGGTTCAGTGAAACTAGTACTGTCTTAAGCTACAACTGCATTTCATCTTCAGGTCTGCTCTCAGGACTGACACAGAGACCAGCTTTGGGTGGAAATAATCATAACATTCAGAGCTGCAACCTGGGGTGATTCATCTCAGAGTCACCAACAAGATCGCATGCTTTTTGGTTATCATGAGTGGCTTCAGGGCGCTGGCTGGGCACTGGCAGTTTCCACTAACGAGGACAAATAAGAACAGTAAACAGGTGTTGAGTTATTACTATCCACCAAACACTTAATGTGTATGAACTTAATTGATCCTTTTAACAACAGCAAAGTAGGTGTCATTATTATCTCTATTTTTTAGGTGAAGAAACTGAGGTACAGAGAGCTTAAGAACCTTGTGATGGGCTTCAGGACATTGCTGCCCCCAAATATGGCACCTTGATATATTGAATGTTTCAAGCTGAAGGAACTTGAGAAAATGGCAGATGCAGTTAAGTTCACACAACCCTTAAGTTGCAGAAGAGGGAGTTGAACCCAGGCAGTGTGGTTCCAGAGTCCGGGCATATAATCATTACTCTGTGTGCAGATAAATAGCATAGGCAGAGGTCTGGAGGGACATAGACCAAAGGCTGCATGCTGGCTGTCTACAGGTGATTTCTTTTCTTTTCTATTTATTTGTCTTCCCTTATTTTTGACAAGTTTTGAGGGGAGCAAAACGTTAAGATTTACACTAGACAAAAGGACAGGTCGTTAGTGGGTGTGAGTTGCATGGGACAATGTACTGGGCTCCCTCCTGGGGGTGTCCACAGAAAGCCAGTTTGGAAAGACACTATGACACAGGTGGACAGAAGGCAGACAAAATCACTGATACAAAATGAAGGGTTTGCTTATTAACTCATTCACGTATTGATTCAATTATTCACTCATTGCTTCAAAAAAGCATGGAGAGCCTACTCTGTTTAAGCATTGTAGTGGGTGCTGGGGATAATTATGTGTAAGACAAGATCCCTACCTTCTAGGGGTTCATAGTCTGGAGGCGGAGGTGAGGGGAAGCTACTTTCAACTAAGCACCTAGTAACTTGTTAAGACATAAAGTAATTTGCAAGTCTGATTCTTCCACAAGGTTTTGAATCCTTGAGGGCAGGGACTGGTACAATACTGGTATAGCCACATATTTCAACCATTGATGCATTCCATGCATGTATTCATGCACTTTTACATTACCACTTGGTGATTGAACATACATAGGGTGTACAGTGAAGGAACAGCCCACGTGATTGTTTCTCCAGGTTGAAGGAGGGAGAGAAGAGGGTGGTTGGAAAAATCTCCATAGAGATTTGAGCAGAGGCTTAAGAACTGAGAAAGTTTGCCAGGTGCAGTGGCTCATGCCTGTAATCCCAGCACTTTGGGAGGCTGAGGCAGGCAGATCACCTGAGGTCAGGAGGTCGAGACCAACCTGGCCAACATGGTGAAACCCTATCTCTACTAAAAATACAAAAATTAGCCAGACATGATGGTGGGAGCCTGTAATCCCAGGTACTCGGGAGGCTGAGGCAGGAGAATCGCTTGAACCTGGGAGGTGGAGTTTGCAGTAAGCCGAGATCATGCCACTGCACTCCAGCCAACAGAGTGAGACTCTCTCTAAAAAAAAAAAAAAAAAAGAACAGAGAAAGTTTTCACCCAGTGGGGAAGGTACTTCCAGGGAAAGGGAATAGCATAGGAAAAATCACAGTGGTATAAGGCTGACTGGTGCATTTGAAGAACTGTCAATAATTAAGTCCCAGGAGCTAGGACTTAAATGTAGGTAAGTTATAAGGACAGAGAACCAAAGCAGAGAGTAAGGGGTATATGTGCAGATGGAGCCTAGGGGATAAGGAAGCCTCCTCCTTTTCCTCCTTCTCTTCTGTTTAATAAGCCCTCCCCCTACTCTTTTGGAAAGGAGTGAAAGGGTAGGAAACTACATCTTTAAGCATCTATACATGCCAAGCCCTGTAGCATGTATAGGAAACTACATCTTTAAGCACCTATACATACCAAGCCCTTTAATCCTTACTTTGGCACAATTCACCAGCCCCATTTTCCAGGTGAGGAAACTGAAGCTCAGAATGGTGAAGTGACTTACTCACACAGTCAGTAAGTGGCAGAAAAAAGGTTTGGATTGAAGTGCATCCGATTCCAAAAGCGGCACTCTTTGTACTGGGCCAGACAGAACAACTGAAAGTGGAATCACGCTTTTATCTCTGCAAAATGCTTTCATGTACCTAGGCTCATTTGATTCTTACCATGATATTGAGTAGCAATTGGTCAAGTATCATAATTTCCATTTTTTTCAGTAGGAAAACTGAGTCACACAGAGGTTCATTTTGAGTGATTTGAGAATTTCAGAATTAAATACATCCAAAGTACCAACAAGAGGACCCAGCTGAAAAACTATACATGAAATGAAGATCAGCCCTGAGATGGTTTCTCAGTGCAAAGGGGCAGCTGAGGACATGACACATGTGCACATGAGAACCTTGTGTGCATGTGGAGGTTTGCAGCTGGAACAGCCGGAGGGGCCAATCCAAGTGGCTGAGCTAATCCTTTCCTCTGCCTTCTGCCTGCTTCCCCTGTCACCTTAGGGGCCCCTCCTGAGGGGACATCTGTGAATTCTCCATGGAATCCCTCATTTAGCTCCCAAGACCCAGCGCAAGCCTGGGTGCAGAATGTTGGTGCAATTTTGACAAGATGCTCACAGAGGTTCAGTGACTAGTTTTAATTAGGCCATCTTTGTTTACGTTTGATGTTTATCAGCTAATTGGCATGGCAAGGTGTGAGTCACACAGCTTTCCCCTGGCATGGAATCAGTTGTCAGAGAAAAAGCCAGGAGAACAAATGATCCCAATTATGAGAGAACCCACCGGGCTAATTATCGTCCCACTAAGGACGGAACCTTCCCCCTCCTGCTGCTCCTGCTACTGCTGTAGCTGCACCAAGTGCCCTGGGATCTCTACACCCCTTCCTCCAGCCCCAGAAACCCAGAAACCAGGATCTGGGCCCCCAGCTGGCTGCCTGGAGATTTATTCTCTCAAATTCAAAACTTGCATGTTCCTCTAGCTCAGACACACCAGGGCAACATTCTTCCTTTAGTTCAAGATCATTTTCCTCTTTAGCCCCTTCCATAAATGATTGCTCATGTATGTTGGACTTTTCCTGTGTGCAAGGCACTGTTGGAAATACCTGATAATTATTTTCCCCAATAACGTACAGTCAGGTCGCATTATTATCTCCATTTTACAAATGAGGAAACTGAGTTGTGCAGATCTTAAATAACTTGTTTGAGGGCAAGCAATAGGGCTGGGATTTGAGTGACATGATCTATCACCATGGCACCTGCTCTTGACCATCAAATGACTCTTGGATGCTCAGAAAGCCCTAAAAATCAACCAATTAGGATTCTTCAGGTGGATTTCTGGGTCCACTCTCCCTCTAATTATGTAGGTACAATCGCCTTCTAGAACAGTGCTGTCCAGAACTTTCTGCAATGATAGAAATGTTACACTGTCCTGCCCAATGCAGTAGGCAGCCACTAACCACATGTGAAATGTGGCAAGTGGGATGGAGGGACTAAATTTTTCATTTCATTTTATTTTAATTTATCTTAATTTTAATTGAAAGAGTCGCATATGGCTAGCGGTTACCTTGCCGGAAAGTGCAGTTCTAGCTGGTCAGCCCTTAGTCCTCAAATGCTGCAATTTCCTAATCAGTCCTTTATGTGTGTCTTTTCCTCCCCCTCCTCCTTCTGCAGCTTCCTGGCTTTCTTGGTGCAGGGCAGGTCTCTTCATTTTCTGCATTCTCTCCTGCCCATTCTCTAAGCCCCCTCCAGGCTGAGGGGCTTGTGCAGAGGAATGCAGTTTGGCTGCCCTTGAGTTGAATGATGATCGTGGACCTTTGGAATGTCCACAAAGCCTCGCACTCTCGGCCTCCCCTGTCTCTCTCCTTCGCCGGGGTAACAGATGGCCCTGGCTTTCACCAGCCGGGCCTGAGCACATTGTCACTCCCAGCTGAAAGTGAAATATTCAGTGGCATTTAAATTAAATAGACTCTAATGCTTCAGTAATATTAATTACGTTTTCATTCATCCCTGGCCTAATAAATCAATGCGTAAAGAGAGGATGCTCGGGAGGCTGGCAGCCTAGTGGGGCCACTGGTCCTTTGTGTGAGCCCGCACACAATGCCCCCATTCTTACGGGGCTGCGCTTGCCCCTGCAAACATCTGTGCTCAGCCCCTCTTGAGGAGGAGCCAAAGAGGTAACATTTACACTCTGCTCCTCCAATTTGTCCCTGCACCAGGGCCTGAGTCAACGGGAAATGTGAAGGCCACACTGAAAACCACATTCAGAGCTGCTGCTGCTGCTGCTGCTACTACTGTGTGTGTGTGTGTATGTGTGTGTGTATTTGTGCACACATGCGTGCACATGGAGCTGGGGGGTTTGCAAAATTCTGAGGCAGAGATTCAGTGAATGGAGACAGGAGTCTATTGGTGCTGGGACCTCACTTCTAGCTGCAAGATTGTGTTAGTTCAGCCTTAACCTATGAGAAGAAGGAGAAAAGGAAGAAAGAAAGGAAAGAAAGAAGAAAGGACAGGAGGAAGGAAGGAATAGGAAGGGGAATAATAACAGCTACCATTGAATGAGTGCTTACTATGTGCCAGGAACTGTGCTAAACACTTTTATGAAAATTCTCTTATTTATTCCTTACAACAATTTATAACATAACATAGCAACTATTATTGGCCCATTTTACAGATGAGGAATTTATCTATAGTTCAGAGAAGTTTGGGAACTTGCCTATGGTTCCAGGCCATGTCTGTTTGATTCCAAAGACAATGTTCTTTACCTCTAAGTTCTACATCCATCAGAAGAAAATACAGAAGAACAGAAGAGATCTCTAAGGCTATGGTTTGTGTAGGGGGCAAGGGGCCAATGTTTGAGAAATTTCCAACATTCCCCTTGGTTTCTGAGGTTTTTTGCCTGTGGGGAGGTCCATCCCCAACGAGCAATGTCTCCACCCCCGCTCCAGGGCTATACATATGTAAAAGAAGCCAATAAAACAATCCAAGAGAGCCTGCTCTCCTAAATCTTCAGGGGACAAAACCTCCTACTTGTGATGCTTCAAAGCTGTCCAGAGCTACCAGTTTACCCCCAGAAGTCCCGACTCAATGCCTCTGATTGGAAAATAAATAGCTTTGCACATAAAAACCACAGGCCAATTGTTAGCCTAGGAATGGGAAAATGCTGTGTGCATCACTGCGTATCAGCCCTGGAGCCTCACTCCTCCAGGGAGGCAGCCTCTCCTCTAGGAGATGGCCCAGGAGCTGGGGGTGAAGGCACTTGTAAACATGGGAGTTTCAAAAATGATTCCTTAGGAAGATTTTTAAAATAGTCAATGTTAAAATCTACAAGAAATCGTGTTTCTTATAGAAAAACTAGAAAATACAAATAAGAAGGAAGGGCAAACATCAGCTGAATTCTTCCACCCAGAGTTAACACTTGGTGTTTTTTTCCTCTAGAAAACTCACTCTATCACTACTTGGCAAACATTGGGCCATAAGATTCAAACTGTTTTGCAACCTGCTTTCCCCCACCATTTACTGTGATCCAAAAGTCTTCCCATGGCATTAAATATGTCTCTCCAACACAGTCTTCTTAATGACAAGTTTTGCAACTTATAGGTAAAACATGGTTTGGTTATTTAATCAGTCTTCAATTATTGGACATTTGGACAATCAAACCAGAAAGAAAATAGAAACCGGGGTTGTTTCTATTTTTTTTCCTCCCACAAAGTTTACTATAATGATTTTCCTTGTGGCTAAATGGTAGAGCACGCACATTCCCACTTACTCTCTTAGAATAAACAACTGAAAGAGAAATTGCTAAGTCGAAGTGAATATGCATGCATATTTTGAGGGCAGAGACACTGTCTACTATAATTTGTAAAAAATGACTTGGAAAGCTAAATCTCAGCTTCAGACCCAATTCCTACCCAATGTAAATATTCCTACTCTCTGA